>NC_000002.12:91402511-91586419 GCF_000001405.40 Homo sapiens | reverse complement strand
GCCAACATGGTGAAACCCCGTCTCTACTAAAAATACAAAAAATAGCTGGTGTGGTGGTGCACACCTGTAATCCCAGCTACTTGGGAGGCTGAGGCAGGAGAATCTCTTGAACCCAGGAGGCAGAGGTTGCAGTGAGCCAAGATTGTGCCACTGGACTCCAACCTGGATGACAGAGTGAGACTCCATCTCAATAAATACATAAATAAAACTGAGAGATTTACCCACACTGTGTTCTGCCTTCCACAAGTGAGATTTTTTTCAAAAGTCTGAGCCACACGGGGCCCCCAATTTCTTACGACTGACCCCTGCTCCATGATGGGCAGATACAAGGGGTCAGAAATGGTGCTCTGGTGGTGCCCAGGCCTGCTGTTTTCACCACATTTGGTGCATGTTACCCCTGCCCACACTGTGTCCTGAGAACTGTGTGGCATGGCTCAATCAGTGTAAAAGCTGGAAACGTCCTGACCAGGCAGCTGCTTCCCAGTGATGATTCAGTACCACGCAGATGGACAGGGAGGCATGGTGCCCTCGGGCATGGACTCCCTTCTTTTCTTTTTTTTTTTTTAATACTTTAAGTTCTAGGGTACATGTGCACAACATGCAGGTTTGTTACATATGTATATATGTGCCATGGTGGTGTGCTGCACCCATTAATTCGTCATCTACATTAGGTATTTCTTTTAATGCTATCCCTCCCCCTTCCCCCCACCCCATGACAGGCCCCAGTGTGTGATGTTCCCCATCCTGTGTCCAAGTGTTCTCATTGTTCAATTCCCACCTATGAGTGAGAACATGCAGTGTTTGGTTTTGTGTCCTTGCGATAGTTTGCTCAGAATTATGGTTTCCAGTTTCATCCATGTCCCTACAAACGACATGAACTCATCCTTTTTATGGCTGCATAGTATTCCATGGTGTATATGTGCCATATTTTCTTAATCCAGTCTATCATTGATGGACATTTGGGTTGGTTCCAAGTCTTTGCTATTGTGAATAGTGCTGCCATAATCATACATGTGTATGTGTCTTTATAGTAGAATGATTTATAGTCCTTTGGGCATATACCCAGTAATGGGATCGCTGGGTCAAATGGTATTTCTAGTTCTAGATCCTTGAGGAATCACCACATGGTTTTCCACAATGGTTGAACTAGTTTACACTCCCACCAACAGTGTAAAAGCGTTCCTATTTCTCCACATCCTCTCCAGCACCTATTGTTTCCTTTTTAATGATCACATGAGCTCCCTTCTTCCAGTGAAGCTGACAGGATTTCACAAGGCCAGAGGCCCACTGGCACTCTCAACTGCCAGAGATAATAGAAGGTCCCAAGGGGCAATTAGCACATTTTGCCCCCAGTCACCTTTGGTGGTAGCTATGTAATCCCAGTATTTTTAAGAACAAAAGAGTTAGACAGTGTATTCACTTCTTTTTTTTTTTTTTTTTTTTTTTTGAGACAGAATCTTACTCTATCGCCCAGGCTGGAGTGCAGTGGTGTGATCTTGGCTCACTGCAACCTCTGCCTCCTGGGTTCCAGTGATTCTCCTGATTCAGTCTCCCGAGTAGCTGGGATTACAGGCACACACCACCATGCCTGGATAATTTTTTGTATTGTTAGTAGAGATGGGATTTCACCATGTTGGCCAGGTTGGTCTTGAACTCCTGACCTCATGATCCACCCACCTCGGCCTCCCAAAGTGCTGGGATTACAGGCATGAGTCACTGCGCACAGCCAAGTGGGTGGGTCTAACAAAGTGCCACTAACGGGGTGGCTTCAAAACAATGAAAATTTATTCTCTCACAGTTTGGGAGGCCAGCAGTCCAAAATCTAGATGTCAGAAGAGCCAAGTTCCCTCTGAAGGCTCCAATGGGGGGTCATCGCCAGCCTCTTCCAGTTTCTACTGGTTGCTGGCAACCCCTAGCATTCCTTGGCTTGTGGCTGTATCACTCCAATCTTTGCCTCTGTTGTCACTTGACCATCTTTCCTTTGTATCTGTGTCTCTTTTCCTCTTCTTATAAAGACACCAGTCATAATGGGTTAAGGGCCCAACCTACTCCAGTATGACTTCATTGTAATTTACATCTTAATTAAATCTACAAAGACTCCATTTCCAAATAGGGCCACAATCAGAGGTACCAGGGGTTAAGATTTCAACAGATCTTCTGGTGAGAAAAATTAAATCTATAACACACAAATGATAGTCAAGATATGGAATTAACCTGTGCATCCATCAATGGATGAATGAATGGACAAAGAAAATGTGTGTATGTATACACATTGTATACATACACAACAGAATATTATTCAACCTTAAAAAGAAGGAAATGGCCGGGCACAATGGCTCACGCTTGTAAACCCAACACTTTGGGAGGCCATGGTGGGTGGACTGCTTATGCCCAGGAGTTCAAGACCAACTGGGCAACATGGCAAAACCTCAACTCTACAAAAAAAAAAAAAAAAAAGGCTGAGTGTGGTGGCTCATGCCTGTAATCCCAGCACTTTGGGAGACTGAGGCAGGTGGATCACCTGAGGTCAGGAATTTGAGACCAGCCTGACCAACATGGAGAAACCCCTTCTCTACTAAAAATGCCTGTAATCCCAACTACTCAGGAGGCTGAGGCAGGATAATCACTTGAACCCAGGAGGCAGAGGTTGTGGGTGAGACAAGATCACACCATTGCACTCCAGCCTGGGCAACAAGAGTGAAACTCTCTCTCAAAAAAAAAAATTAGCTAAACCCAGTGGTGTGCACCTGTAGTCCCAGCTACTTGGGAGGCTGAGGTAGGAGGATCATTTGAGCCTGGGAGGTCCAGGTTTCAGTGAGCTGAGATTGTGCCACTGCACTCCAGCCTTGGTGACAGAGCCAGACCCTGTCTCAAAAAAGAAAAAAAAAAGGAAATCCTGACATTTGTAACAGTATGGCTATGAACCTGGAAGATACTATGTTAAGTGACATAAGCCAAGCACAGAAAGACAAATGTCACATGATCTCATTTATATGTAGATCTATAAAAGCTGAGGTCATATAGGTAGAGAGTAGAATAGTGGCTACCAGGGGCTGGGCAGCAGGTGGAATTTGGGGGTTGGGAGATGTTGGTCAAAGGGTACAAAATTTCATTTAAGTAAGAAGAGTAAGTTCAAGAGATCTATTGTACAGCTTAGTAATTATAGTTAATAACAATTTATAGCATTTTAAAAATTGTGAAGAGTAGATTTTAAGAAATCTCACCACAAAAAATAAGTATGCAAAGTAATGCATATATTAATGAACTCCATCTAGCCATTCCACATGTACCCTTGGACTTCAAAACTTGGAAAAAATGAATTGAAAATATAAACTTTATGTCTCAACATAAGCTCCATCAAGTTCAAGACACTTCTTCTATAAGTCATGCTACAGCCATTTAGCCCATCCCTAAGGAACTGAAGGTCCTGAGAATTTAACCATATCAATGCAGTCTTTTACACATTAACTGAAAAGAGTATCCTTTACAGATTAAGATTATGAAACAAAAAGAAGTTAGGAGGAGCCAAATCAGGACTGTAATGATTTCCCATCAAAATTCTCCCAAAATTGCCCTTGATGACAGGAATAACCAGAAGCATTGTCATGGTGGAGGAGGACTCTGCTGAAGTTTTCCCAAGAATTTTCTGCTAAAGCTTTGGGTAACTTTCTCAAAACCCTCTCATAATAAGCAGATGTTACCATTCTTTGGTCCTCCTGAAAGTCAACAAGGAAAGTGCCTTGAGCCCCAAAATACTGTTGCTATGAGTTGTGCTCTTGACTGGTCTGCTTTTGCTTTGACTGACCCACTTCCACTTCTTGGTAGCCATTGCTTTGATTGTGCTGTCTTCAGGATAGTACTACAAAATCCATGTTTCATAACTTGTTGCAACTTTTCGAACAAATGCTTCAGGATCTTGATCCCACTGTTTAAATTTCCATTGAAAGCTCTGCTGTTGTTTGCAACTGATCTGGGCACAACAGTTTTGGCACCCATCAAGTGCAAAGTTGGCTTTCAGTCAGAATTGTGTAACCTGAACCAATTTGACGTCTATGACACTGTCTATTGTTTCTGCTATTGTTAACTGCTATTAATCATCAGTCCTCTTTGATTAGGGCAAAAACAAGATGAATTTTTTCCTCAAAGATTCGTGTGTAGGGTCTCTCACTGAGGGCTTCCTCTTCAACATCATCTCATACCTTCTTAAAACAAGTTATTCATTTGTAAGCTGTTGATTTCTTTGGGGCATTGTTCCCATAAACTTTTCATGAAGCATTAGTGATTTTACCATTTTTCACCCAAGCTTCATAATAAATTGATGTTTGTTCTTGCTTCGATTTTAGCAGAATTAATGTTGCACTGATGTGGTCTCTTTTCAAACTGATGTCTTATCCTCCTTAGTGTCTCAAACTAGATCCTGTTCAGACATGTTATGACAAGTTAAAGACTCTGTCTCAAAAAGTCTTTTTTTTAAGTAATAGGACAATCTTCATACCGTCCTAATTGGCCAGTTATTAGCTCTTGGGAAACTGGGTTTTAACTAATTGTTTTAAACACATGCCAGCCTTAGATTTCTATCCAGGTTGTAAACATACTCTTCAAGAAAAAAAAAAGATATAAAATGTGTGAAGGCTGACACTGGGGTACTCTCCACCCAAGCTCCCTCCAGGGAGTGTGATCCAAATGCCCTCCCTTCCCGGGCTGCTGCCTCGGTTGTGCCGGACCCTCACATCACTGCCTGATTCATCACTGCCTGATTCGGCTGCCTGATTGTGGCCTTTGCCTGGCCTTGCTCCCTATTTTAAATGACACTCTCGCCACACCTTCACATACCCATGACAACAAACTGGGTTTACTTCTGTCTACTCATCATGCCTGACTTTCCCCTTTGCAAACATCATGACGGGATGTGATATTCCTGATCCTAGATTCTGCTTTCCCTTTCTTTCCCTCTCCATTACCATTTATTGAGTGGACACCTACTGTGTCAGGCACTGTAATTGGTGTTTTACAAACATTATTACTATTACCCACAACCCTACAAGACAGATATTGTTCCCACTTCACAGCTGAAAAAAGATTACAGGTTGACTACCCCTTCTCTGAAATGCTTGGGACCAGAAGTGTTTTGGATTTTGGAATATTTGCATTGTATTCCAAAACCCGAAATGCTCCAATGAGCATTTCCTTTGAGTGCCATATCAGCAATCAAAAAGTTTCAGATTTTGAAATTAGGGATACTAAACCTGTACTACTGAAGGTCTTGCAGCTAGTAAATGGCAGGGTATGATCTGAACCAGACACAAGTGGTGATTAAGTCAAATCATTACTAGAAGTCACCTTACAGAGAAAACAATCAACATGAGGTACATTCTGTCACAATGCTTATGCTGTTTAGATTTAATGTAGATATATTTGCATTTGAAAGTGCAAATACTGTCTTTATAAAGTCTTTGAAGAACAGAGTTAGCCCTTGTTATTTCTATGGTTAATTCAAAGTGCTAATAGCTAAAAACCAGAAGTCATTCCAAAGTTTGCATGAACAAAACTCACAAGAAAGTTATAAAAATATTTTATTTAAATGGTACAGAAAAAAAATATGTATACTTAAAAATGATTAAAACTTCACATTAGGAAATGCTAAAAACCCAGTAATTTACACAATGATAAAATCTAAAGTGATGGGAAAACATAAAATATTTTCATTTGGTCCTGTCACCTAACAAAACTATCATAAATATGAGATTATAGTAATTACTAAAGCTGGTTAAAGGCACATGACAACATAATTGCTTTATACATATCCAGTCATTTTATACAAGGAACTGATATCCCTTAAATGGAAGAGTGAACTATTTGTTTAAAATATTAAGAGTGCATCATGTACCTACAATGAAACCACTTTCTCCAAAGACTCAAACAGATTAACATTGCAAAATAGTATTTCTGTATCACTGACTTCTGAAAATTTTAATAATTTAAGAATATGCAAGTGAAATATAATTTATTCTGGTTTCAAAAATAGTTATACAAAGTCACAATTTTCCCCAGGAAACCATTCACTTCATAGTTGCAAAAACACACTGTAGCTTTTCTGTTAGGGTCTGCCATGCTTTCAGCTAGCTGGATGTTTAACCATTCAATTCAAATTTACGTGTCCAGCCATGCACGGTGGCGTGGGCCTGTAGTCCCAACTACTTCGAAGGCTGAGGCAGGAGGATCACTTGATCCCAGGAGTTCAAAGCCAGCCTGGACAACATAGAAGACCCTATCTCTTAAAAAAATAAAGTATATGTCCTTAAATCTGAAAGAAAACCAGCATTTATGTAACAAGTAAAACATTCTATCTTAAGCTATTGCATTTAACACTAAAAAGCATAGTTCACTCTGTGATCTACAACGTTGTCTGAGTCTCCATTACAATTATAAATTCATGTCAGAGTAAGAGCTCCCAAACATCTGTAAAAACTCAAAATTCAAGAGTCAAAGAAGGGGCTGAGCACATGAGAAGGGGAGAGATGGGTGACAGGGTCAGGTGAGGAAGTGTTCTGAGATGTGTAGGATTCCTCCGGGCCCAAAGCAGCTTGTGGCACCACATGCATACAGGAACGAAGGGCCTCCTGTGAGGGCTCCCAATGGTTCCAAGACACAGCAAGGTGCTTGAAGGAGGCTGGAGACATTGGCGTGGGCATGGAGGTGCTAGCAACTATTTTCAGACTGCTAACAATGAGACTATGTCCATTTCTTCTTTGTACAGTTACCATTGACCTTCCTTTAAAATCCCACAGGGAGAACATGCTGTTTTTAGCAGAAATGTCAGTTTTCATTAACTCCTTGAAAATTTAGTGTATTAACTTTCATTTCCATGAGCTTCAATTTCCACACCTGTCAACTGCTGTATAAAGCAGGTTTCCTGCAAGTTCTGATGTAAGTGACCTGACAGGAGGCACTATCTTTGTCCTTCTCAACATGCCTCTAAGCATCTGGAGTGAGTATTCTCAATATGCACTTATTTAATAACAGAGTTATCCGACACTCAGAAAACAGCCTCCACTGTGTAAGGCAGCAGATCTCAGGATGGGGTGATCTGTAGGGAGGCAGAAATTCTATAAATAACACCAAACAAAAGCTGATTGTGTCATCCAACACATTTTTATGAGGAAGTCAGAATAATTAGAAGATGGTAGAATTTTTTTTCCCAGTTGGGTAAAATTGTCCATTCTTCCTGTATTCCCATTTCTTAAGAATGATCTAGCCAACAGTCATTGAATATAAGCGGACACAAATTAATATAATTTCAACATAAAATGGTCTAATGTGTGAATTTAACTATATTGGAAGGTACAAATCCTGTCTTTATGAGGTCTTTGAAAGGCAGGGTACCTTCTCTAAAAAGTAGTCACTTAGAACCAACTTTTACAAAAGAAAGAGTCTCAGCCCCCAACCCCTGCCAGCCTGGGCAACATAAGGAGACTCTGTTTCTACAAAAAAATTTTTAAAAATTAGCCAAGCGTGATAGCACATGTTTGTAATACCAGCTCCTTGGGAAGCTAAGGTGGGAGGATCGCTTGAGCCCCCAGGTGGTCAAGGCTGCAGTGAGCTGTGATCATGCCACTGTACTCCAGCCTGGACAACAGAGTGAGACACTGTCTCAAAAAAAAGGAGTCTATCTCAGAGTTCAACGAATGGATAATTCTAGTGTGGACAACTCTGGTGTAAACATGACTGAAAATAATTCACAAATAGTCTGTTACAGCTCCATCCACTGAAAATTGTCATAAAAGACATTTTTTCAATGAGTTCATTTTTAGAAAAACCATTCCAGATATCTTACCTTCGGAAATCATCCAAGGAGTGTGATAAACATTACAACCCCCATAAACTGGGTAAACAACAACAATGGAGTGAAAAACGACCACACATGCCATAAAGCAATGTTGAAGCTGAAAAGAACAAGACATAAACAGTTGACAACTCAAATATGCATCAATATATTTTATTCTAGAATCCAGATTTAAAGTATTCAATGTAGAAAAGTTCATCCAGTCAGCAACCTTCTCCATGTATCATATTTCTCAGCTATGTGACTTAGCCAATGCTGGAAAGAAAACTCTAGATATACTTACACAAGTATCACAATTTCTTCAAGAAGGCCCTGGAACTGGAACCACTAAAGGTCTCCTAATAGGAGTTGACATGGCTTAATAGAAACTGAAGTCTCTTAGTTTCTGCACTTGAACAAGAATTTAAATGGCTACAGCCCATTTTTATGACATCACACACTAAACTATCATGGTAAAAAAGACCAAAGTATTTTCTCTTAAAAACAGAATGAAAACGGTTATCACTTATAAGCTGCTATTATATATTTCATTGAGAAAAACACTATTCCTGTCATCAAAGTAAAATTAAAACACTTTCTAAGTGTAAAGATTGTTAATGACTGAAATTTCTAAGAACAGAATAGGAAAAACTATATTCAAATAAGTTCAGATGGTTATTGGTTTTAACATATAATATTTTGATAAATATGAGTATTAAATAACTATAATCACGCTGTCTAAAAAATTAATATTTCTGGAGATGATCTTAGCCTTATGGGAAAAAGTAAAACAACATATCTGTATGCCCCCACATACAGGTTAACAATAACCACATCACACTGTCAAACACCCTTGAACTTCAACTACAGAAAATAAGTCATAGAAAGAATATGTATAAAGGTATATGGTTCTTCCAAAATAAAAATTCAATTAGGCCGGGGGTGGTGGTGCACGCCTGTAATCCAGCACTTTGGGAGGCCAACACAAGCAGATGGCTTGAGGCCAGGAGTTTGAGACCTGCCTGAGCAGCATGGCGAAACCCCATCTCTACAAAAAATACTAAAAATAGCCAGATGTGGTGGCACATGCCTGTGGTCCCAACTACTCGGGAGGCTGAGTGAGGTAGGAGGATCACTTAAGCCTGGGAAGTCGAGGCTTCAGTGAGCTGTGATCATGCCACTGCACTCCGGCCTGGGTGACACAGTGAGACCCTGTCTCAAAAAAAAAAAAAAAAAAAAAAAAATCCAATTGATATAAAGAAAGAAAAAACTAGAGAGCTACGCACAACATAGGAAAAGTAGTTTTCTTTCTGGTTGGATCATAGGATATATTTCCTTTGTGTTTTTCTGTAATTTACAGATTTTTTTTCCTCAGTGAGCAAGTATTACTTTTATAAACCGAAAAAAACCCTGTATTTTTCATCGAGTATTTAATTAACTTATGAAGAAAGTTATTCATTGTGGCATTGTTTGAGTATAAATATAACGAAGTCCAACAACAGAAGACAGGTTAAATAAATCATGTTATGTCCATGCTGTGAAAACTATGCAACTGTTTGAAAAAATGTGACACATCTATATGTACCATTATGGAAGAATCCCAAACTATAAGGATCCACTGAAAAACAAAAGGAAAAAAAGATGAACAACCACTTTGGAAAGCAGTTTGGCATGATTTACTGAAGTCAAAGGTATGTACATCCAACAATTTTACCCCTTGGGGTGTATATATATATACACACACACACACACACACACACACACACACATATACGTACATCTCTACACCCAACAGAAATGTGTTCACTGTGCTACAAGAGCTATGTACAAGAATGCTCTTTATAGCATCCTTCATAGTAACCCCAAACTGAAAAAAATCTAAACACAATCAACAGTGGAAAAGAAAACTGGGATTCAATTAAACAATGGAATGCTAAAGAGCAATGAAGATGAGTCACTGTTCCCGGCTACAATATGAAACAACTGCACACAATGCTGCACACAGCCAGCTCAATGTGAAGGAATACACCCTGTATGAATCCATTTCTATAAAGTTCAAAAGCACAGCTGAAACAAAAATAGAATATCTAATGGAAGCAAAGCAAGTAGTTACCATGAAGGTCAGGGCAGTATTTACCTGTGGCAGGAGGGATGGTGCAGTAACTGGGAGGGAGAATGAAGGGGGTTCCGAATGTACTGGCTCAGTTTACACCAATGCTCACTTCATGAAAATTCATTCATTTCAGTTTTTTCCACTTTTCTATATGTATCGTACGTCATAATAAAATAGACTTAAAAAGCAAAATGCAGAATATGTACAGAATGTCACCATCTGTGCTTTAAATAACTAGATCCATAAATAGAAGGAGAAAGAGATACGAATGAAAAGGGAACCAGAGAGCATGAATGACCAGGAGACTATTTTTCTGTTTTAACTTTTTTACTTTCGAAGTTTGGACCAAGTATATCACTATCTGATCAGGAGGTGGGGGGCGTTGTCAGCCCAAGCAGCTGCCACCGTGAGCAGTGGACACAGGACCAGCTTCTGGGGATGATCCTGTCCTCTCCTAGCAAAGCCCCGTGCATGGACAGGGCATCCATGCCATCCATGTCACCCAGGGCAGGTCACTGAGCCTCCCGCAGCCCATTTCCCCGAGTCGCCCAGGCGCGGTGGAGCACATGCAGCACAGTTGTTTTAGGAATTGGATGACTCACTGAGCTCCTGACAAGTAGTAGGCTCGGCACGTGGCTGTGGCACTTTTTCTAACTGCCTGGGTTCCATCTCAACTCCCAGAGAGTGAACATCCCGCCTCTCTTCTCAGGACTGGTGCTCTCCGAAGCATTAAGTAGGAAATTGAGAGTAGTAGCAAGTGAGACTTAGGGGGCAGGTAGGCAGAAATCAGTGATGGCATAGCCGCGCCACCATGACCATCCTGGCCATTGTCTCCTGTGTCTCCTGCTCCTCGAGGTCTTCAAAGTCTCATGCTGCCTTCTCCAGCAGCTGCTCTCTGTGATGGGAGGGTGGGCACAGGGTGGGTTTGTGGGTGATTCTGCTGAAGCCAGGGAGATGACGTCTGTCCAAGGACCCTCAGCCTGGAGCCCAGGCTCCAGGAAGCTCTGTGGGGGACAGCTGACATCACTGGGCATCTCCTTTCTGTCTGCTCTGCTCACAGAAACCTGCAGGACACTGCCCATAAGGTGAAGTGAGCAAAGAGGCCAGGCCAGTCCTTCCCAGCCCCATGGAAGCCAGTTCAGCAGGACCCTACATGGATGGGCTTCTGCAACTGTGAGCAAAGGGGGCCCATCAGGCTGTGCCCAGCCCCTAGGACACACAAGGGAAGAGCTTCTTCCCAATACCTGCCACCTGCTGCCTCTGCACAGCCGTGGTGTGCACACTGCTGCAGGGAGCAGGCACCCTCATCCCTGTGGCCCATCTCCCCCTTCTTGTCCTCATTCTGAGGCCATAGAAAACTGGCCTGCAGCATCCTCACCCTCAACCTTGCCCTGCTGGGAAAACTTAGGCCCTCAACTAAACTCGGGCCCCTGGACGCACTCGCTCGGCCGCAGTTCTCAATCTTCCCTCTGCCTGGAAGGCCCTGTCGTGTGTTTCACACTTGCTAAGCAGAGTCCCCTCTGAACTCAGCCCCCTGGATCCAGCCCAGCCCTCCTGGATCCACTTGCCAGAGCAGCCCCGGACCCCGCCAGCCCCTCCCACTGACTCCAGTGCAGGTCAGTGAAGGTGACTATGACAGCTCTGGTAATCCTGGAAGAACCCCCAGGATTGAACACAGCTCTTGGGCTCTGATTACAGCCAATTACCATAATGGAGAGAATATCTGGATTCTCCCCTAATTTCCTCTCCTCTTAAAATTTTCAATTAAGAGCCTAATCTTGATGGAAAATGGCTGCTTTCTGGAGTATTCTCCGCAGTGCTGATTCCTCATTGCTAAGTGCTTTTTCTAGACAGATAGAGGCTCTCGATGATTCCAGATAAAATCAGAGCAAAGGAGCTTACCCAAAGAAAGGAGGAGAGCAGAGCAGCAATAGGCTATACCCCGGAGCCCTCCCCGCTGCTGGAGACACCAGGTGGGTGAGGGGGTCTCTTGGGCCCTTCCAGCCTGCAGAGCTGCTGAGAGTCAGGCCTGGCTGCCAGCAAAGCAGCTGAAGTCTTGAGAAAACTTCCTGATTGCATTAGCGAGGTCGCAACACCAGGACATAATCAAATCTCCCTGGAGGACGTGGCTTCAGGAAGGGCTGCTACAAGCCAGTGGCAGAACAAGGGCAACCAGGGTCAGACACGGTGGAAGGAGGGAAGTCCCAGAGCCGAGCATGGGTGGACATCAGAGGGGTGTGGGCTGCACCATCTGGGTGCAGGGGCCAGCAGGCAGTGCGGGTCCACCCAGCCCAGGGCCAGCCTTTCCCAGCAGTCGCGTGCAGAAACCTGGCACACGTCATGGGGCAGCGGTCCCATATCATAGGCCCTCCTGGTGTTAGCAGTCAGGAGGGTGCCTAGAAAAGCCTCCCACAGCCACAGGGACAGCAGGATCTGAGCCCACCCTCCACACCAGGAGCCTGCCCAGCACCATAGGCAGGGCCCGGGTGCCCTGCTCAGGAATGAGCTCTGCTTCCAGCTTGGCCATCCTAGTTCCACCCTGTCTGTAACTTAGCTGACCAGGAAGATGGCTGTGATGACCACAGAAAATCCCGACACAGAGCTGGCATGAAGGAGCTGTGCCTGTGGAAGCTTCAGAGTCCTCAGGCCAGGCTGGCCCTGGCTCTGCCACCTCTTGGCTGGAATGCCTTCAGGCACCTACTGAGCCTCTCAGGGGCTCAGCATCCTCATCTGTGGTACACGGATAATAATAGGGTTGTTTTGAGAGTAAAAGCACAAAACACAGAGCCTGGCTGGAGAAAGCACAGGTAGCTGAAGTCAGCCAAGGCTGAGTTAAGTGTTCTTCTTAGAAAAACGGACAGGCCATTCCCTGAAGGCATCAGTGCGGGCAGGAGGGAACCTGCACTTTGCAGTTCCAACACCTCAGGACACAATTCCTGCTAACCTGACCCACAAAAGACCAAAGGACACACCCAAGATCCTGGACCAACGTCCCACAACGATGCCTCCTGGTTTCTTCTCTAAGAATATGTCTTAAAATGTTCCCTAGGAAGCTAACTCTATATTCCTAATGTATGGACCATGGAAAGAAAACAAGTGTCTCAGTAGGTTTGTTCAACAAATGTGCAAATGCAGAGATGAACAAAGATGCCCAAAGTCAAGGAGCAGCTCAGTTGCCTCCGACATGCTCGGGGGCCACATCCACCTCCAACCTCTGCCCTGTTCACACTTTCCTCCACCCAGATTCCCCTCTTGCCCTGGCACTCCAGGAATTGTTTGATGTCCTGGAAGCTCCCTTTCTCTGTTCCATAGCCCCTGAGGCTGGTACCTCCCTGCATGCGTGTCCACCTCACCCACTGAGTTCCAGGAGCAGGTGTCTATCCTGCTCGCCCTGACTCAGCAGGGAGGGCTGAGCTCTGGAGCCTGAGTGCACCCAGACCTGCCCCATGGCCTCCTGTGCCTCTGTGTCCTCCTCACCCTCGACTCACCAAGGAGCCCTGAGGACGTGAGAACTGGAACATGCCCAAGACCCACATCGGGGCCTGGCACACACCAAGCGCCTAGTGAACGCTTGATGACTGAGGACAGCATCGCTTCTTCTAAGAGGGGAAAAAAAGGAAAGTCAACCAGAGACAATTTGTAAAAGATGGCTTTTGACTGAGGCCTTGAAGGATGGGCAAGGATGGGCAAGGGGAGGGGGGACTCAAAGTGCAGGATGAGAAGGCTCTAGGTGCCTGAGTGCCTGTGCATGTGAGCATGCATGTGCATGTGTGTGCATGTGTGTGTGTGCATGAGACTTGCAGCCTTGCATGTGTGTGTGCATATGCATATGTGTGTTCATATGCACATGCATGTGTGTGTGCCCTAGTCCAGACAGGGTTCTGAGTGCACTGTGGGGGACAGATGATTTCACACTCCGCCCTGAGTCTGAAATCAGTGGGACAGATGACCTTGAAGAAGGCCTTATGGCTCACTTAGTGTGAGCCAGACTTCATAGAGACAGTGACGGCAGGACACATGCATGGGGGTCCACCTTCCCAGAGCTGGAGCCCACATAGCTCCAGGACCTCAAGGGAAGCCCAGGGTCTGAGGGGCCCAGGAGGCCCATCCATGGGATGGACCCAAGGAGACTTTGGTGGCTTCTCTGTTAAGATTTGAAGGGGGCCAGGTGTGGTGGCTCACGCCTGTAATCCCAGCACTTTGGGAGGCTGCAGCAGGGGGATCACGAGGTCAGGAGTTCAAGACCAGCCTGGCCAACATAGTGAAACCCCATCTCTACTAAAAATACAAAAATAAAAATAAAAAATTAGCCGGGTGTGGTGGTGGGTGCCTGTAGTCCCAGCAGTTTGGGAGGCTGAGGCAGGAGAATCGCTTGAACCCAGGAGGCAGAGATTGCAGTGAGCTGAGATTGTACCACTGCACTGCAGCCTGGGAGACAGAGCAGGACTCTGTCTCAAAAAAAAAAAAAAAAAAAAAGATTTGAAGGGAGCCCAGGGGGCAGGACTGGGTGGGCACAGGATGGAGACAGTGACACCCTTGGTCTTGGGTGGCCCCTGCCAGCCCCAGCATATCCTCAGCAGATAGGGTGACAACAGCGCCTCTACCTCTAGCGGGAGGCGCAAGAGAAATTCACGCGATGCACTTGCCTGGGCTTGGTGAGTGGAAAGCTCCCCACTGACTCGAGGGCTGGTGGTGAGGATGGAGAGGGAGGTGGAGATGGAGGCGACAGCATGGGCAGAGCAAGAGCACAGCTGTGGAAGGGAGGTCCTCCCAGCTAGTCTCAGCCACCCTGGGTTCTTACCCTTTCACAGCTGGGGAGTGGAGCCTGGGCCTGCGCCTCTCCGCGCCAGAGCCGGCGCCAGCGCCTCTCCGCGCCTCGCCGCCGCTGTCTGCCTCTCCGCCACTGTCCGTCTCTCCGCCGCGCCGCCGCTGTCCGCCTCTCCGCCGCTGGCCGCCTCTCCGCTGCGCTGCCGCTGTCTGCCTCTCCGCCGCTGTCCGTCTCTCCGCCGCGCCGCCGCGCCGCCGCTGTCCGTCTCTCCGCCGCGCCGCCGCTGTCCGCCGCGCCGCCGCTGGCCGCCTCTCCGCCGCTGTCCGCCTCTCCGCCGCGCCGCCGCTGGCCGCCTCTCCGCCGCTGTCCGCCTCTCCGCCTCGCCGGCGCCAGCGCTGTGTGCCTTTGCGAGGGCGGAGCTGCGTTCTCCTCAGCACAGACCCGGAGAGCATTGCGAGGGCGGAGCTGAGTTCTCCTCTGCACAGACTTCGGAGATACAGCGAAGGCAGAGCAATGTTCTCCTCAGCAGAGACCCGGGCGGGCGGGCCGGTGGCACCGCGAGGGCGGAGCTGCGTTCTGCTCTGCACAGACCTTGGGGGCACTGCCTCGCTTTGGGACAACTCGGGGCCGCATGGACGGTGAATAAAATCCTTCCTGTTTGCAGCCCTGTTTGTGGTTGGTGGCAGCGATGGACACTGCAGCCAGCCAGAGCGTAGAAAGGCGTCGGGGTAAGTGCGCTATCCAGGCTGCACTGTGGGTGGCCTGGGACGGGTTGGGAGCCCTATCTCAGGCGTCACTGCCCGTCTTGGGTGGCCGGTTGGGTGTGCTATCTGGGGCTGTGCTGCCTGCACCGGGCGGGTGGGGGGGTGGTTTGGGGGCCAAACCGGGGCTGCACTGCCTTTGGTGGGGAGCCGGTTGGGGGCACTATCCCAGACTGTATTGCTGGCAACAGTGAGGTGGGCTAAGTGTGCTATCCGGGGCTGCACTGTGCGGCTGTCGGGGGGGTGGCGGTTTCGGGTTGAGGGCGCTATGGGGTGCTGTAATGCCCATGGTGTGGGGAGGCGGGGCAGTTTGGGTATGTTGGGTGTGCTATTGGGGGGGTGACACTGCTGGTGGTAGGGGGCAGGGTGGGTTGGGGGCCATATCAGGGGCTGCACTGATGGCTTTAGCTAGGATTTCTGGTACTATGTTAAACAACAGTGGTGACAGGGGGCATCCTTATCATGTTCCAGATCTTAGAGGAAAAGCTTTCCATTTTTCCCCATTCCATATGATTCTAGCTGTGGGTGTCTTTCCTGTAGTTTTTATTATGTTGCGGTATGTTTCTTCTGTGCCCGTTTCTTTGAGGATTTATAGCATGAAGGGATGTTGAATTTCATCAAATGCTTTTTCGGTTTCAGTTGACGTGATGATACTGTTTTTGTCGTTTATTTGGTTGATATGATGTATCACATTGTATGTTGAGTGACCCTTGGGTCCCAGGGATACATCCCACTTGATCATGATGAATTATCTTTTTAATGTATTACTGAATTTGATTCACTGGTATTTTGTTGAGGATTTTTGCATCCATATTAGAGATCCTGGCCTGTAGTTTCCTTCTTTGATGCTTTTGTCTGATTTTGGTATCACAGTAATAATGGTCTCATAGAATAAGTTTGGAAGTATTCCCTCCTGTTTTTCAAAATAGTTTGAGCAGGATTCGTACTAGGTCTTTAAATTGTTTGGTGTGAAGCCATCAGCAGTGAAGACATCAGTTCCTGGGCTTTTCTTTACTGGGAGACTTTTTCTGATGGCTTCAATCTCATTACTTGTTACCAATCTGTTCTGGTCTTGGATGTTTTCATTGTTTAACCTAAGTAGGTTGTATGCATCTAGGAATTTGCCAATTTCTACTAGGCTTTCCAATTTATTGGCATATAGTAGCCAGTTATGATCCTTTGAATTTCTGAAGTATTAGTTGTAATGTCTCCTTTTTTAATCTGTTGATTTTATTTATTTGAATCTTGTCTCTTTTCTTAGCCTGGTTAAAAGTTTGTCAATTTTGTTTAGCTTTCCAGAAAACCAACTTTTCATTTAATCTTGTATGTTTTTTATTTCAATTTTGTTTGTGCTATGATCTTATTTATTTTCTTATTTTCGGTTTAGTTTGTTCTTTACTAGTTCTTTAAGATGTATTATTTGAAGGTTTTCTTTTGTTTGGATGGTAGGCACTTATAGCTGTAAATCTCTGCCTTTGTACTGCTTTCTGCATAACAAGTTTTGGTATACTGTGTTTTCATTACCCTTTGTTTCATGAAATTTTTGAATTTCTGTCTTAGTATCTTCATTGACCCGCTAGTCATTTATTCAGGAGGGTAGTGTTTAACTTCCATGTGATTGTATTGTTTCCAAAATTGCTTTTCTTATTGATACCTAGTTTTATTCCTTTGTAGTGAAAGAAGATGGCCACGGAGACAGACAGCAGCGTGGTCAGAGTGGTAGGAGCTGACCATCAGCGAGAGCTGCTCCATGCCTGGCTGCTGGGTCCTAGAGCCTGTGGCCCACTGGCTTGCCTCACTGTGGTTGGTGGTGGTGGTGACAGAGACTGCAGGACGACCAGATGGTAGGACAGGGGCTATCCAGGGCTGCACCTTTTGCAGTGTGGGGTGGGTTGAGGGCGCTATCCAGGGTGTCATTGCCTGCATTAGGGGTACTGGTTGGTAGCACTGTACAGGGCTGCACTGCCCACGGCAGGGAGGGTGGGTTATGGGTGCTTTCTGGGGCTTCAATGCCCATGGAGGAGGACAGGTTAGGGCACTATCGGTTATACGCTACTGGCGGCATTGGGGGATGGAGGTGGGGGGCGCTATTGAGGGCAGGACTAGCAGTGGAGCGGGGGCGAGTTCGGTGCTATCAGGGGCTGCACTGCTGGTGTCGGTCAACAGAGTTGGCATCCCAGGAAGGAGTGGTTCTCCTCTCCCTGACTCCACACTCCAGAGGGCGACCCACTCTTGGTCATACTGGAGTGCAGCAGGGCACGCAGCGTTTGCGTGGGAATCCTGAGCATGGCAGAGCCCCCACACCCACCGTGGTTCCTGGGCCTGTGTACTGTGGGTCTGTGCCTCAGAGGCTTCCAGGCACCCCTGGGGACACCACGGGGGACAGGGCCCTGTGCGTGGAGGCGTCCGGAACAGGAATTGGCACCTGGGTGCGGAGGGCTGGCTGGGTCTGAATTTTTCTGCTTCTCCTGCTCCCCGAGGAGTGCAGCCCCAGTGGGCCCAATGGTTCCTGTGGAGTGGGGAGCTGGGTGCTGTGGTGTCTCCAGCACCCACCCCAGACCCCAGTTCCTGCCCAGCTTGGGCCAAAAGGAGAGGCTGGACTTTGGAGGGTGGGTGTGAGTGCCTTTGCTGAAACTGGCCCCTGCCACCCAGTGGCCGGCATGACAAGTTGAGGCTCTAACCCTTCCACCCCTCACATCTTTCTCTAGGCTTTTCCGGCTTTGCCCGCCCAGCTGCTCTGTGCCAGGAAGAGGAGGAGACACCTAGAGCCTGCGACACCATGGCTCGCCTCGCTGCGGGTGGGCGGCAGTGACGTAGCCTGCAGTGCGCCAGAGTGGTAGGAGAGCGGCTGCACTAGGAGGGCAGGCGGCTGCAGCCAGGGTTGGGGGTCAGGCTTAGAGCGATGGACGGGCTGCAGCAGTGGCCAGGTGGTAGGAGCCTTGTAGGGAGGGCTGGTGCATTGGCAATGGGCCTGGCTTTGCCCTGCGCCTGCCGTGGATCTGGCCCTGTACTGCCCTGCCTTGCCCTGTACCTGCCCTACTGTTACTTGGACTCTCGGCCCTGTCCTGCTCTGGTCCCATCCTGACCCTGTCTTGGCCCTGTGCTACCCTGTCCCTGCCCTGGTCTTGCCCTGGCACTGGCCCTGCCCTGAACCTGCACTGGCCTGACCTTGGCTCTGGCCCTGGCTCTGGCCCTGCCTCTTGTCCTGATCCTGGTCGTGTCATGGCACTGGCCCTGCCAATGGTCATGGTCCTGCTCCTGTTCTGGCCCTGACCTGGCCTTGGACATGTCCTGGCCCTGCTTTGGCCCATCCCTGCCCTGGCCCCACCATGGGCCTGCCTGTTCTGCCCTCTCCTGGCACTGACCTTGCCCTGTCATGGCCCAGTGGTGCCATTGCCCTGCCTTACCCTGCGCTGGTTGTGACTTGGCCCCGCTTGGTGCTGGCCGCTCCCTGGACCTGCCCTGGACCTGCCCTGACCCTGCCCTTGGCTTTTGCCCTGCCCTCACTATGGCCTGGCCCTGGCCCTAGCCCTGGTCCTGCCATATCCCTGGCCCTGCCCTTATCCAGGCCCTGCCCCTGCTGCTGCCCTGGCCCTGGCCTGGAACCTGGTCCTGTCAAGGACCTGCCCTGACTCTGCCATGGCCCTGGCCCTGCTCTGCCTTGTTCCTGGCCCTGACCCAGACCCAGACCCTTTCCTGGCTCTGCACTGGACTTTCCCTGGCCCTGAGCTGGCAATGGTCTGCCCCTGGTCTTGCCATCACCCTGCCCTGCTGCGCTCTGGATGTGTCATCACTCTGCCCTGGCCCTACTCTGCCTTTGACCCTGCCCTGGCCTTACCTTGGCCCTCACCCTAGTCTTCGCTAGACCCTGCTCTGGAGCTGGCCCTAGCACAGACCTGGCCCTGATCCTGGCCGTGGTCTTTGTCCTGCCATAGCCCTGGCCCTGAAGTGGACTTGGAGGTGTCCTGGCCCCGGCATAACATGGCTCTGCATTGGCCTGTCCCTGCCCTGCCGCTACCATCTCCTTGCCCTGCTCTGTCCTGTCCCAGCACTGTCCCGGCCGTGCTATTTCCCTTCCCTACCCTGCCTTGGCTGTGCCCTGGCTCGGTTCTGGCCCTGGCCCCGGCCCTGCCCTGGACATGCTCTGACACTGCCTCAGCCTCGGCACTAGCCTGGCTCTTTCTTGACATCAGCTCTGCTCTCTCTGTGGACCGGCTCTTGTCCTGTCCTACACTGGCCATACCATGCCCTGCCCTGCCCTGCCCTGACTCAGTCCTGGCTCAGCCCTGGCCCAACCTTGGCCTTGGCATTGCCCCTGGTCATGCCATATTTCTTGCCCTGTCCCTACCCTGGCCTTGGCCCTGACCCTTACCTTGCTGTGGCCCTGCCCTTGCCCTAACGCAGCCCCTGGTCCTGTCATGGCCCTGCCCTGGACCTGTCCTGGCCCTGGCCCTTCCCTGCTTGAGAACTTGCCCTGGTTCTCCCCTGGCCCTGACCCTGAAATGCCTGGCCCTACCCTGGCCTTGCACTGCTCTGGCCTTTGCCCTGACTCTGGTCCTGTCACTGGCCTAGCCCCAGCCCTGTTGCTGGTCTTACCATGGCCCAGACCCTGCCTTGGCCCTGCCCTGACACTGTCCTGGACCCTGGCTGTGCCAAGAACCTGCACTGTCCTTGCCATTGTTTTGCTCCTGCCCCGAACCTGGTCTTCCCCAGGCCGTGGCCATGGCCCTGGCCCTGGCCCTGCCCAGGTCTTGGCACTGTCCTGGCCCCGCCCTGCCCTGGCCCTATGCTTTTCTGGCCCTGCCTTGCCGGCCCTGGCCCTGCCTTGGCCCTAGCCTGGCTTTGACCCTGCCCTGGCCCTACCTTGGCCTTCACCCTAGCCTTACCTGGGCACTGTGTTGGACCTGGCCATAGCACAGACCTGGTTGTGGCCCTGGTCCTGCCGTGGCCCTGTCTCAGACCCTAGCCCTGCCAGGTACCTGTCCTGGCCCAGCTCTGGGCCTGGCTTTGTCCCTGGTTCTTAGATGAACCTGGTCCTGCTCCTGCCCTTGCTCTTGCCCTGGCACTGGCCTTGGACATGTCCATGGTCCTAACCCTGGCCCTGCCCAGGAGCTGCCACTGTCTTGGCTGTGCCCTGGCTCTGGCCCTGCCCCGGCCCCAACCATAGACCTGCCCTGGTTGGTCGTGAACTACCTTAACCCTGTGCTACCCTGGGCCTGCTCCACCCTGCCCTGGCCCTGCCCTCCCTTTGGCCCTGCCCTGACCCTGCCTTGGCCCTCACACTGACCCTAGCACAGACCTGGTCCTATGTGTGGCCTTGGCCTGGCATTGACCCCTGCTCCTGACCCCGGTCCTGCCATGGCCCTGGCCCTGCCAATGACCCTGGCAGCCCTGACCCTGGCCCTGTCTTGGCCCTGGCCCTGAACTGGCCCTGCCCTGACCCTGGCCCTGAAGTGGATTTGCAGGTGTCTTGTCCCTGATGTAACCTGGTCTTACCATGGCCCTGTCCCTCCCCTGGCTCTGTCCTGGCCTTCTGCTGACCCTGACCCAGACCTTGGCCCTGCCCCAGCCTTGTCCTAGATCTGGCCATGGCCCTGCGTCTGCCCTGGACCAGCGCTGGCACTGGCATGGACCCTGGCCCTGGCCCTTCGCTACTTAAGGCCATACCCTGGCCCAGCCCTGGTCCTGACCCTGTCCTGGCCCTAATTTGGCCTGGCTCTACCCTGGCATGCTATTCTGGCCCTAGCCCTGACCCTGTCCCTGTCCCTGTCCTGGCCCCAGCCCCATTGCTGGTCCTGCCACGGCCCTTGTCCTGACATTGCCCTTTCCTGGTTCTGGCCCTGGCCCTGTCCCAGCCCTGCTCTGGCCCTGGTCTGAACCCTGGCCCTGCAATAGACCTGCCTTGGTCCTGCCCAGACCCTGGCTCTGGCCCTACCTCTGCCCTGGCCATACCCTGGCCCTGGCCTGGACCCCAGTCCTGGTCCTTGTCCTGCCCCAGCCGTGGCCCTGGCCCTGCCCTGCCTGTGCCCTGTTCTATCCTGGGCTGGCCCTGCCATGGCCGGGTCTTGCCATTGCCCTGCCCTAGCCTGCCCTGCTTGTGCCCTAGATCTGCCCCGGCCTTTGCCCCTGTCTTGGTTCTAGCCTTGACTGAGCCCTGGACCTTCCCTGATCTTGCCTCAGCCCTGGCACTACCCTGGCCTTGCCTTGGCATTTGCCCTACCCTCTCTATGGCCTGGCTCTGGTCCTGCCCTGCTCTGCTCTTGTTCTGTCCTGGCACAGCCCTGGCCCTGGCCCTGGCCCTGCCGTATCACTGGCTCTGGTCCTGCCCTTATGCAGACCTGACCCTGCCACTGCCTTGGCTTTGGCCTGGACCTTGGCCATACAGTGACCCTGCCATGACCCTTTCCTGGCCCTGGCCTGGAACCTGGCCCTGCCAAGGACTCGCCCTGGCTCTGTCATGGCCCTGGCCCTTTCCTGGATTTGGGTGTGTCCTGTCCCTTATTTGCCCTGGCCCTTCCCTGGCTCTGCCATACCCCTTCTCTGGGGTAGGGCCAGGGTCAGGACCAGACCAGGGCAGGGTCAGGACCAGGGTAGGGCCATGGTAAGGCCTGAAGATGGGAAGGGCCAGGGCAGCGGCTGGACCAGGGAAGGGTCAGGGCCAGGGATGTAGTAGGACTAGGGGCAGAGCCGGCACTAGGGCTGAGCCAGGACAGAGCAGGAGAGATTACATTGGGCTATTACGTAAAATTTTTATTTTAGATTTTTAAGATAACTGTAGTAGTAGTAATGTCTATACTATAATGTTTGTAACAGTAATAATATTTGCAGTAATCACTAAATTTTAACTAATACTATCTTTGCTTCCAGTAGTGTTCTATGAGTATAATTTTATCAATATGTTAATATGTGAGGCATTGATTCTCACAATAATTCTATGTGCTAGGTACTTAAAGCATCCCCATTTTCCAAATGTAGGAAACAGGCATAAAGAAGTTAAATACTTGGCCAGATTACTCCTGTAATCCCAGCACTTTGGGAGGCCAAAGCAGGCAGATGGCTTGAGCTCAGGAGTTTGGAACCAGCCTGGGCAACATTGTGAAACCCCATCTCTACTAAAAATGCACAAAAAGAACTAATTTAAGTTTCTTGTAGGATTCTGGTTATAAAACACTGGTCAAACACACAGGGCATGGATAGGGCAGGGCCAGGGACAAGGTCAGGCCAGGAAGGGGCCAGGGCCAAGGCAGGGCCAGAGATGGACTTGGAAGTGTCCTGGTCTGATTTGCCCTGCCCCAACGTTGGTCCAGCCCTGCTCTGGCACTTCCTGTCATGCCCTGTCCCTGGCCTGAGCACTGGCCCTGGCCCTGTCCTGCTTCTGGCCCTGCCCCGGAGTTGACCAGGCACTGCCATGGCCCAGTCCTGCATTGCCCTGCCCTCCTCTGCCCTGGTGCTACCATGGCCCTGCTTGGGCCCTAGCTCTGCCTCTACTCTGGACCTGCCCTGACTCTGCTCAGCCCTGGATCTACCCTGACTCTGCCTTGGTGTTGCCCTCCCATCTCTATGGCCTGGCTCTGGCTGTGCCTTGCATAGATCATGCTCTGCCCTGCGTGTCCCAGCCTGGGCCCAGCCCTTGTCCTACCATATTCCTGACCCCAGCCATACCCTTCTTCTGGCCGTGACCCTGCCGTGGCCCTCTCCTGGCCCTTCCTTGGTCCTGCCCTGCCCTTCCATGCCCTGGCCTTGCCCTCACCCTGCATTGGCCCTGCACTGGTCCTGCCCTGCCCTGGCACTGCCTTGGCCCCGGCCCTGCCTTCTCCCTGGTCTTGCCTTTGCCCTGCCCTGGCCTGACCCCAGGCCTACCGAGTCCATGAAATGGCCCTGGACCTGCCTTGCCATCGTCTGTCCTGGCCCTGTATTGTCCCCACCATGCTCTGGTCCAGCGCTTGCCCTGGCCCTGTTGCTAGTCCTGCCACTGTTATGGCCCTGCCCTGTTTTTGGCCATGCCCTGTGCTACCCTAGCCCTGCCCTGCCTTGGCCTTGGCCCTACCATGGCCTTCTCCTACCCTGACCTGGCCCTACACTGGCCTTTTCTACCCTGGCCTTGCCCTTCCCTGGTCTTGCCTTGCCCTGGCCTTGCCCTGCCCTGGCCTTGGCTTTGCCTTATCCTGGTCCTGGTTCTGCCCTGACCCTGGCCTTGCTCTGGCCCTGTCCCTGGCCCAGCCTTGACCCTGACCCTGGCCCTGACAATCCCCAGGTCTGACACTGGCCATGCTTGGCCCTGGCCCCTCCTTTTGGCCCTGCCCTGGCCCTGCCTTGGCCCTGTGCTATCTTAGTCCTGCCCTGGCCCTGAACTCACCCTGGCCCTACCCTCACCCTACACTGGCCCCGCCCTACCCTGGCCTTGCCCTGCCCTGGCCCTGCCTTTGGCCTGCTCTGGCTCTGGTTCTGCCCTGGCCTTGCCCTTGCCCTGGACCCTCCCTGGCCATGTTTTTTTCCATGGTCCTTCTCTGGCCTTGCCCTTGCCCTGTCCCCTTTCTGGTCCTGCCATATTTCTGGCCCTGTCCTGTCCATGTCCTGGACCTGACTCTGGCCCTGGACCTCCCTGTCCCTGCCCTGCCATACCCTGACCCGTTCCTTGCTCTACACTGACCCTGCCCTGCCTTGGCCCTGTGCTACCCTAGCCTTGCCCTGGCCTTCTGCTGACCCTGATCCTGCCATGGCCCTGGCCCTGCCATGTCCCTGCCCTGGCCCTGGTTCTGCCCTGCTTCTGGCCCTGGCCTTGGTCCTCTCATGTCCCTGGCCGTGACCCTGCCCCTGGTTTTTCTCTGGCCATGACCCTGCCCCTGTTCTGTCCTATCCCTGGCCCTGTCTTAGTTCTGTCCTAGCCCTGGCCTTTCACAGTACTTTATGCTTAGTAAGGGCTCCATGGTGTCTGTGAGTTGAATGTTGTGTTCATAGTATCTGCCAAAACAGAAAGAAAAAAAACAAAATATTTTGATAAGAAGTTAAAGCTTTGTATATAATATGCCTTGAATTGTAAATGCCTGTTATTAGTTGTATTACATATAGGTCATGGTTTTGTACACATAACTCCAAACCATTGATACTGTTAAAAGAATATATGAATATATGAAAGAATGTATAAATGTAAGAATGTATCATTATCTAATTACCTTTCCAAATTAATTTTTATTTTTAGCTCTATTAGATTTTTCTCAGTGTAACAAATGTTTATTCCTATGTAATTAAGGGCGTATTTCCTGTACAGAATATTCATATTACCTAATTGAAAATTATATGATACAAAAATATAATACTATTTTTAGGCCAGGCATGGTGGCTCATACCTGTAATCCCAACATTTTGAGAGGCCAAGTTTGGAGAATCATTTGAGTCCAGGAGTTGATCAGCCTGGGCAACATAGTGAGACCTTGTCCTTATTAAATAAATAAATAAATAGGTTGGGCACTGTGGCTCATATCTGTCATCCCAGCATTTTGGGTTGCCAGTGCAGGAGGATTGCTTGAGCCCAGGAATTTGAGACCAGCCTGGGCAGAATAGCAAGACTTCATCTCTACAAATAATAAAATATTAACCAGGTGTGGTGGTGCGCACCTGGGGTCCCAGCTACCTGGGAGGCTAATGTGGGAGATTTTCTCGAGGCTGCAGTGAACTGTGAATGCACCACTGCATTCCAGCCTAGGCCACAGAACAGGACCTTGTCTATGAATAAAGAAATAAGTAAAAATATAAATAAAAATAAGTAAAAAGAAATATTAGTAAATATAAATATAAATACATATAAATATAAAAATGCATGCATGAAAAGAAACAATTTTTAAATTTAACATCACTGAGGGCATCCTATCCCTTTCATTTCATGATTCCATTATGTCATTTCACTTAGATGAAATGATAAGATGACGAGATGAGATGAAATGATGAGATGAAATGACAAAATGATGAGATGAGATGAGATGATGAGATGAAATGGAGAGTGGAAATGATGAGATGAAATGATGAGATGAAATGACAAAGTTGAAAATAAATTGAAAGGAGATGAGATGAAATGAGATGAAATGATGAGATGATGAAATGATGAGATGAAACGAGATGAAATGATGAGGTGAAATGAAATGAAATAATGAAATGATATGAAATAATGAAATTGAAATGAGATGAGATGAGATGAAATAATGAGATAAAATGAGATGAAATGAGATGAACGATGAGATGACATGATGAGATGAAATGAGATGAAAAATGATGAGATGAAAAATGAGATGAAATGAAATAATGAAATGAGATGAAATGAAATGAAATAATGAAAGGAAATTATGAAATGTAATGAAATTGAAATGAAATTGAAATGAGATGAGTTGAAATGATGAGATGTAATGATGAAATGAAATGATGAAATGAGATGAGATGAAATGAGATGAAATAATGAGATGAAATGAGATGATGAGATGAGATCATGAGATGAAATGATGAAATTAAATGAAATGATGGATGAAATGATGAGATGAAATGAGATGAAATGTAATGAGATGAAATGAAATGACATAATGAAATGAAATAATGAAATGAGATGAAATGAAATAATGAAATGATGAAATAATGAAATGAAAATGAAATGGAAATGATGAGATGAGAAGAAATGATGAGATGAGATGAGATAAAATGAGATGAAATGATGAGATGAAATGATGAGATGAGATGAAATGAGATGAAATATGATGAGGTGAAATGACATAATGAAATGATGAAATGGAATAATGAAATGGAAATGAGATGAGATGCAATGAGTTGAAATGAGATGAAATGATGAAATGATGAGATGAAATGAGATGAGATGTGATGAAATGATGACATGAAATGATGACATAAAATGAGATGAAATGTAATGATGAAATGAGATGAAATGATGAGATGAGATAAAATGATATGAAATGATGAGATGAATGATGAGATGAAATGATGAGATGAGATGATGAGATGAAATGATGAGATGAACTGATGAGATGAAATGAAATGAAATAATGAAATGAAATTGAAATAAATAAATAAAATTGAAATGAGATGAGATGAAATGATGAGATGATGAAATAAAATGATAAAATGATGAGATGTGATGAGATGAAATGATGAGATGAGATGACATGAAATAATGAAATGAAATAATGAAATGAAATTGAAATGAGATGAGAAGATACGAGATGAAATGAAGTGATGAGATGAAATGATGAAATGATAAGATGAAAAGAGTTGATGAGATGATAAGATGAAATGATGAGATGAAAAGATGAGATGAAATGAAATGATGAGATGAAATGAGATGAAATGAAATTAGACGAAATGTAATGAGATGAAATGAAATGACATAATGAAATGAAAAAATGAAATAATGAAATGAGGTGAAATTAAATGAGATGATGAAATTAAATGATGAAATAATGAAATGGAAATGATGAGATGAAATGATGAGATGAATGATGAGATGAAATGAGATGAAATGATGAGATGCAATGATGAGATGAAATGATGAAATGATGAGATGAGATGAGATGTAATGATGAGAGGAAATGATGAGATGTAATGAAATGAGATGAAATGAATGAGATGAAATAATGAAAAATTGAATTGAGATATGAGATGAAATGAGATAAAATGAGATGAAATAAGAAATGATGAGGTGAAATGAAATGCTGAGGTGAGATGAGATGAAATGAGGAGATGAAACGATGAGATGAAATGAAAGGATGAGATGAAATGATGATATGAGGTGAGATGAGATGAAATGAGATGAAACGAGATGAAATGATGAAATGATGAGATGAGACGAGAAGAAATGATGAGATGAAATGAGATGAGATAAAATGAGATGAAATGAAATGAAGTGAAATGAAATGAAATAATGAAATTGAAATGAGATGAGATGAAATGAGATAAAATGATGAGATGAAATGATGAGAAGAAATGAGATGAAATGATGAGATGATGAGATGAAAAATGATGAGATGAAAAATGAGATGAAATGATGAGATGAATTGAAATGAAATGAAATAATGAAATAATGAAATGAGATGAAATGAAAAGAAATGATGAAATGATATTGAAATGAAATTGAAAGATGAGATGATGAGATGAAATGGTGAAATCTTGAAATGAAATGATGAAATGAATAGATGTGACATGAAATGAGCTGAAATGATGAGATCAAATGAAATGAAATGAGATTAAATGATGAGATGAAAACTGATGAGATGAAATGCTGAGATGAAATGAGATCAGATGAACTGAGATGAGATGAGATGAAATAATGAAATTAGGTGAAATAATGA
Organism: Homo sapiens; assembly: GCF_000001405.40. NCBI lineage: Eukaryota > Metazoa > Chordata > Mammalia > Primates > Hominidae > Homo > Homo sapiens. The sequence goes on along the minus strand of NC_000002.12, from coordinate 91,558,611 downwards.
AATGAGATGAAATAATGAAATTGAAATGAGATGAGAAGAAATGAGATGAAATGTTGTAATGAAAGGAGGAAATGATGAGATGAGGAGATGAAATGATGAGATGAATTGAGATGAAATGAGATGAAAAATGATATGAAAAATGATATCAAAAATATGAGATGAGATGAAATGAGATTATATGAAATGACATAATGAAATAAATGAAATTAGATGAAATGAAATGAAATAGTGAAATGAAATGATGAAATGAAATAATGAAAATGAAATGGAAATGAGATGAGATGAGATTTGGTGAAATGATGAGATGAAATGATGAGATGATATGAAATGATGAGATGAGATGGGATGAGATGAAATGAGATAAAATGATGAGATGAAATGATGAGATGAAATGATGGGGTGAAATGATGCACTGTCACGTGTGTGTCTATTCTTTTTCCCAAGCAACAAAAATTATAATTCATTAATTTTAATTTTATTATTTAAGAATATTCTTAAGAGTTGAAGGAAAAATAATATCTGTACATTATGGGTTACAATCTAAGTATAAATAATACATAAATATATTAAAACTTACAAAGAATATGTTTTGGAATCGAATATACCATGCTTCTGTGATGACAGTTATTTCATGCTGGTTGTCACAATTTTACATGAAAAACTAATGAAAAAATGTTTTTAACTGTTTCTAAAAATAACAGTTTCCAAAACAGTTTTACATTCGAAATATGAAAAAGATGTCTTTGTGTTCCTTAATCTGATGAGATTTTCACACTCTGCACATGATAATTGTTAGATTTTTGTTGTGTTGATAAATTGTATATCAAATAAAAAATGTTATTACCTCTTAAATTAGGATTTTTAGGTGATATAGGCAGAAAGGACGGCAAGGTTTTATAACTTTGTCTAAATGAACTTTCTAAATGCCTGAGTATTAAAAGATAGCATGTCTATAAATCACAATGTATATATTACTGTATGACTTAGGACCAATCAAAACCGTTACCTCTGATAACATTATATTGTGCCCAGTATAAAATAGATATAATAATACCTCAAACTTAAATCCGGGCATTGTCATTGAATATCTTAAGAATATGCAACAAAGGTGCTTTTAAAAATACAAGCTAGTGATTGTACCAAATTTGTAAATCACATAGGATAGTGGGTCATTTTAAGAATATTAGTTATTTCAATCTATAAACGTGGATGTCTTTCCTTTTTTGTGTTTTCTTTAATTTCTTTCATTAATATTTGTCATTTTTGTTGTCGAAATCTTTTACTTCCTTGGTTAAATTTATTTCTAAGTACATTTTTGTAGCTATTGTAAAAGGAATTGCTTTCTTAATTTCTTGTTTCAGCTAGTTTACTATCAATATATAGAAATGCTACTGATTTTTGTATGTTGATTTATATCCTGCAACTTTATTAATTTCATGTATCACCCTAAGAAGCTTTTGGTAGAGTCTTATTTTTTTCCGTGTATAAGATCACATTGTCTTTAAACAGGGACAATTTGACTGTCTCCTTTCCAATTCAGATGTCCTTTATTTCTTTCTCTCACCTAATTGTCCTGGCTAAGACTTTCACTATGTGAAATATGATTGGTGAGAATAGGCATCCTTTTCTTGTTCCAGTAAAATCTTTTTCTTGTTCACAGTAAAATCTTTCACCTTTTCCACACTCAGTATGATCTTAGTTGTAGATTTGTCCTTTATGTCCTTCTGTTTTAAGGCATATATTTTCTATACTAAATTGTTGAGAGGTTTTTTGTCATGTAAGAATATTTAATTTTGCCAAACGCTTTTATTGTGTTTATTAATTTAATCATATGGTTTTCAGTATATATCCAAAGGAAAGAAAACCAGTATATCAAAGACTTACCTGCACCCCCATGTTTATTACAGCACTATTCACAATAGCCAAGATATGGAATCAACAAAAGTGTCCATCAACAGATGAATGGATAAAGAAATGTGACATACATATATAATGGAATACTATTTAGTCATAATAAAGAACAAAATCCTGTTATTTGTGGCAACAAGAATGCAAGTGGAGGGCATTATGTTAGGTGAAATAAGCCTGGCATAGAAACATAAACACCACATAACTACGTGTTCTCACTTATGTATGGAAGCTAAAATTTTTAATCTCGTAGAAGTAGATAGTAGAGTTTTGGTTACCATATCCTGGAAAGAGTAGGAGAAAGAAGAGTATAAGAAAAATGTGGTTAATACATACAAAATTACAGCTGGAGAGAAGGAAGAAGTTCTAGTTCTCTACAGCACTGCTGGGTGACTGTAGTTAATGGGAATTTATTGTGTGTTTTCAAATAACTAAAATAAAAGATTTTGAATATTCTCACTGCAAAGAAATAATACATGATTTAGGTAATGGATATGATAATGACTCTGACTTGATCTTTACGCATTGCATAAATATATCAAAATATCACTCTGTACCCCATAACATGTACATTTATTATATGTCAATTAAAGTAAATTTAAAAGAGAAAAAATGAGGTAAAGGTAAATATACATAATTTAATTACTTTTTCTTCTATAAAACCCGAGTCAGTACCAAGAAGAGTCAATTTATTAGTTTTCTAAAATAAAAAAAATCAAAATCACCAAAAAAGAGCAATATCCAAGAAAACATTGAAAATGAAACACAACATTTAGTAAGAATAGAAAACTTGGGCACTGTATCACCCTGTTCCTAGATACCGATTTACTGATGGCCATTTAAATAGAATTTTATTCTATCTAATTCATTTATACTCCCAGAGTTCGAAATTACATTTTACCTACAATAAATGAGATAACACTTGTAAATTATATGGTACTCTGCCTAACACACGTTAATAACTCAATACATGTTAGCAATAAACTTTTAGTATAGTAGTCAAAGTATTAATTTCTCACATTGCAATTTCCTTCAAAGACATGAATACAACCTTTCTAATGACTCCTTGTTCATCAAGATACCTCTTCAAATTATTCTATTTGTTTCATTCAGTATATTATCTGTGTATACCGATATTACACTCTTTTCTTTTTTTGAGATGGAATCTCATTCTGTTACTGATGCTGGAGTGAGGTGGCATGATCTCGGTTCACTGCAACCTCCACCTCCCAGGTTCAAGCGATTCTCCTGTCTCAGCCTCCCAAGTAGCTAGGACTACAGGTGCATACCACGATGCCTGGATAATTTTTGTAATTTTAGTACAGTCAGAGTTTCATCTTGTTGTCCAGGCTGGTCTTGAACTCCTGACCTCAGGTGATCCACCCACCATGGCCTCCCAAAGTGCTGGGATTACAGGCATAAGCCACCGCACCCAGCCTGATATTGCACTCTTGGATTTTGAACACTGAATATCTTTTTGAAAGATTACACCTCTTTACTTCTTTGTGCTTCAGAAATTATTTTCCTTCAAGTGTTCTAAGAGTCTAATGAAGAATGAAGTCATGTTTTATCACTTTTGTCCTTAAAGATTTCAGACATGCTGAAACTGATTGAAGTATCATTTGCTACTAGATAGATTAATTATCTCCAGTTGTAGGAGTGGATACATCTTTAATGGTATATTTTGGGTTATTGTCTTATTTTTGATGCAGTATTCTATAAATAATTTATTAAACCTGGCATCCTTGGGTGAGCATAGATTTTTCAACTTTGGTGTTATATTGTGTTTGCTTTTAAAAACTGCTTCTGAGGCCAGGTATGGTGGCTCTTGCCCATACCCAGCACTTTGGGAGGCCAAGATGGGTGGATTACCTCAGGTCAGGAGTTCAAGACCAGCCTGGTCAACATGGCAAAACCATGTCTCTACTAAAAACACAAAATTAGCCAGGCATGGTGGTGCGTGCTTGTAGTCCTAACCACTCGAGAGGCTGAGGCAAGAGAATCACCTGAACCTGGGAGGCAAAAGTTGCTAGGTTGCTGTGAGCCAAATTCGCACCATTGCCCTCCAGCCTGGGTGAAAAGAGCAAAACTCTGTCTCAAAAAAAAAAAAAAACCCACCAAAAACTGCTTTTGAATGGAGTTGTACATATAATTTTTATGAAAAAAATTAACAAGTGCATAAGTTCATAATAGAAAAACCAATAATACTCCAGGCACAAGTTAGTACTAAAAAAATTATGTTGAATATTCTCTAATACAACATGCTTTTTCCCTTCATGAACAATTTGTGTTTTACTGAGAAGAGTCATTGTTTATGGTAGACATTAGACTACAGATGAATATGTACTTTAAACACTCTTAGTTGCTTTCTTAATTTTATATCTGCTGCTTTATGCTTCTGTTTATTTTCATTCTTTCCAATGTCCACATTCTAGTAAATTTGAATATTTTAATCCAAGTTTATATACTATTTAATATTGCTTGTATAGTTTAGTATTTTTAAGACTCAAAAAGGTTTACAGAAAGAAGAAAAAGATCAACATGTTATTAATCATTTAAAGATCATTTTGAAATCTTTGACCTTTATATTTTAATGAATAAAATATTAGTAGTTATTAGTATAAAATAATTTATGTCTTTTGGACTTAGCATCCAGTATTTCTTTTTTAATAAAGAAAATAATTATTCTCTTGCAATGTACTATGTTTATCTGGGTTTTGAAAAGTGATGTTTCCTAATATGAGAAAGCCATTACAGTTTTAAATCTACAAAGGCAAATGGAATGGTACTAAATTATTTACATAATAATGTTTAGATGGTGGCCCTTATAACATTCTTTCTATACTTCCTACAGAGTTGGGGATATGCAATTCTAGAATATTTCTGGGAGCTAATCCTTTAGCTTGATGAATGAAACAAGACTTTTAAATAAAATTAAACTTTCAAATTATCCAGGTAATGGGCCTGTCTTTTAATTCAATGGATATGGAGCATAATGAATTAACCCCTGTTCATTGGGTAATAAGTTCTCATTCTTTTAATACTCAAAATGTCCTTTAATTTTTAATCTTTGATAGTCATATCATTATCCCTAGGTATTTTAGCTTCTATCTTAAATTCTAAAATAATTTTGAAATAGGAGAAAGTATTCTTTATTACTATATGTATTAAACATCATGGTTTTCAAATTGAACTGCAAATGTATCTTTTCATTGCTTCTTGATGACGCCCTTCACCCTATCCATATTGTCACTACCAAGTGGTGATTACTTTTCAGGTTCACATACTTATTCTTCAGAAAAATCTTCTCTGTGCCTTATAAAGAATATGATTGTTGGCATTCAAAAGCCAGCGAAGTATACATTATTAGCCTGTTGCCTAACTCATTTCTTTAAGAAACTACACTAATTACCCACATACTTATGTTTTTATTTCCTCATTATTTCTGGAGAAAACAAATACTGCTAACGTGATATTTGTAAGAGAGAAAAAAGTCTTTTCTTGAAAAGTGCTGTCATTGTAGTACTAACTTATAGTATCAACTTCTTTATAAACTCCTTAGACACTTTTTATTCTGAGAGAAATAAAAAAGCTAAAAGTCAAATGACTTTTTTTACTCTCCTTATTATAAGCACCCATCTTGGTAATTTAGGGTCTTTATAGTTAGGGTAAGTTGTGTCATACCGAGGTTACAAAATAAAAAGTATTTTGTCTCTTTGGGCCTTTCCTTATTCAGTAATACTGTCAGTTTGGCTTTTTTTGTAGGTCAACTTATTGAACTCAGTATTCTGAAATAATATGTTTACTATCTTTTGAGAAGCACTTAAAATATTAGATTTATTGTTACTCTTCTGCCTTTATTGGGCTGGAAGAATAATTGTTTCACTCCACAAAAGGCAAGTTGCGGAGAAAAACACATAGACATTCAACCGCAAAGCAGAGAAACTTGACTATTTTCTGCAATTTTAAAGTGTATATTGAATAAAACCATCTTTTTATTTTCTTTTTTGCTCACTGGCAAATATTAACAACATCAAGTGTATTATTATAATGTTATCTAGTTAAAAATCTCAAAAAGTTTTCATAATTACCATTTTAAAATATATAAATAGGTGACCTAATGTTAATTTTTATTGTCTGAGACCATGTCTGTTATTTCACTCTTTAAATTCAGTTAGTAGTGCAGAACCTAGCACTTAGTAGATACTCAAAAATTATTTGCTGAATAAAAAAAGGTTAAACATGTAATATATACAAAATGTACTGGAAAAAAATGCACCAAACAATTTTGTTATACCAGTTTAATGTAAATATTGCCTTTAAAAGATAATATAGTTTTCAGGTGTCTACAGTGATTTTGTAATATTTGTGCACATATAAAATAATATTTCCAAAAATGTAATCCAGTGGGGAAATATACTTTCTAAATTCTAGATTTATAATTTAGGGTTTAAATTATAAAATCATTAAATAAGACACAAGTGAAATGTAGTCAAATATCCCCTTGGAAAAAAATTAAGTGGCCTCTAAAGTGAGATATTCATATATGTAAATTTTACAATCCTCTAGTGATAGAATTAATTAAATACACCACCAAATTGATTAATTCCTACTGTGTTAAAAGAGAAGCACTAACAATGCCAGTTACCATGTAACATGGATTTAAGCTACAAGTCATAGAAATGTGATGAGAAGCCTCAGCGCTGTAAAACAGAGGGTGGAGGAAAGCTTTTCCTCTCTCAAATGAGCTTTGCGAGGTATACTTCTTGAAGGATAGGAAGTTGAAGTGTTCAGGACTTTTATGTCTATTCTACTTTGGCTTAGTTTACATGATTCGTAGTTTGTTAGCCTAGAAATGGCCAAGAAAACTTAAGGTTCAATAATTAGTTATAAATATGAAATATCCCCGATTTTTAAGATAAAAACAACTTATAAATGTATTTGTCTGTAAAAATTGTGTATATTTTTACAGAACATCTATTTCTTTTTTTATTTTTTTATATTTATTTATTATGCTTTAAATTCTAGGGTACACATGCACAGTGTGCAGGTTTGTTGCATATGTATCCATGTGCCATGTTGGTGTGCTGCACCCATTTACTCATCATTTATATTAGGCATATCTCCTAATGCTATCCCTCCCCCCTCCCCCCACCCCACAACAGGCCCTGGTGTGTGATGTTCCCCTTCCTGTGTCCAAGTGTTCTCATTGTTCAATTCCCACCTATGAGTGAGAACATGTGGTGTTTGGTTTTTTGTCCTTGCGATAGTTTGCTGAGAATGATGGTTTCCAGCTTCATCCGTGCCCCTACAAAGGACATGAACTCATCATTTTTTATGGATGCCTAGTATTCCATGGTGTATATGTGCCACATGTTCTTCATCCAGTCTATCATTGTTGGACATTTGGGTTGGTTCCAAGTCTTTGCTATTGTGAATAGTGCTGCAATAAACATACGTGTGCATGTGTCTTTATAGCAGCACGATTTATAATCCTTTGGGTATATACTCAGTAGTGGGATGGCTGGGTCAAATGGTATCTCTAGTTCTAGATCCCTGAGGAATGGCCACACTGTCTTCCACAATGGTTGAACTAGTTTACAGTCCCACCAACAGTGTGAAAGTGTTCCTATTTCTCCACATCCTCTCCAGCACCTGTTGTTTCCTGACTTTTTAATGATCGCCATTCTAACTGGTGTGAGATGGTATCTCATTGTGGTTTTGATTTGCATTTCTCTGATGGGTCTATTTCTTTAAAACAAAGGGAGGGGAGTCTCTCATTTGCATTAGTTTTTTTCATAGCCTTTTAAACTTTGCAATTTCTATGTTTCAGAACCTATTTCTTACAGTTTTTCTATGCTAAACTCTGTCCTAGTCAGTTCTAGAGTGTATGAAGAACCAAATGATGTAATTGTATGCCACCTGGCTGTAGTGGAACAAATTTGACTCTTAAGTATGCAGGCTCTAATTTTCCTGTCTGGTTTTGGCAAGTATTCCTTACATAGGTTTTTTCTTTGAAAATCTGGGATTGAGAGGTTGATGAATGAAAATTAATCCTTTCACTTTTTTGTATATAGGTTTGCAATAATTAGGTCAGAGTGGAGTTTTAAGGTCACGGAGGGGTCTGATGACTTACAAATAATGGGCTCTGATTGGGCAACTACTCATCTGAGTTCCTTCCATTTGACCTAATTAAGCTTGTGAAATTTACACTAAGCCATGAGCTCATCTTTAAAAAGTTTTATTAAAAGATTTTCAGCTGTTCCAAATGGGACTTATTAGTGGAATGTGTTTTAAAGGATCATATCAGATGAATGAAAGGTATTTGATCCTTCGTTTCCTTAATAATAAAATGATGGTTTGGAAAAATAGGCTACAGTCTAACCACAGTGCTATTATTAGGCTTTCTTGTTAAACATAGGTCTAAGCCTAAGTATGTCAATACAGCAAATACTTACTGTTTCATTTCTAGTAATGAAAAAAAAAAAACAAGTCTTTCTGGCATAAGGATGATTTTCATCTGGTTATTTTGAAACATTTTTGTAAAATAAATTTACATCTATAAAGAACATTTTTATTTGTAAGGAGGGGTATGTCTCTGTGCACTGGAAGAGAGGGAGGACTAAATCACTGGGAAGTCTTATGATAAAGAAGCCATTGGCTTAAATCAGCAAAGCAAGCTGTCCCTTGGTTTAAGGTGTTTTTCCTGGCCATCCTGTCTTGACTAGAACTTTACCTACACCTTCCTTTTTGGTTTAGGCAAATTATGGTATCTAAAACTAAAGTCTCAGCTCTGTGTCTTTGACATATAAATGTTCTACCATGTCTTCTCTGGAATCTGATAACTATCTATCTCTTTAAAATGCAAGTCTAGGGAGATGACTCATCAGAAAAAGAAGAAAAAAGAGGTATTTGGAAATTGTGCAAATTAAAGCAGCCCCTGATGTCAAAGTCTACACATTCCTGAGTGAGTCAGTTCTGGCCAGTTCTAGCTGGATCAAGAGAGCTCTTCTGGGCAGGCCTGAAGAGCACCTGGATGGCAGACACCTGAGGAGTCAGGTGCCTGAAACTTCCTCCACCTTCTTGAGGAGTGCCAAAGCCCAGGTGCTGGCTGGACAACCCCTTCTGGCTACCTAAGCAGATGGCAGAAGAAGGAAACAAGGTCAGAGGCAGAGTATTGAACCCTGCCTCCCAGGTGGGTGGAAGATGCCTGTCGCCAAACTAGAGCCCAGCTGGCCGGGTGAGATGGGTGAACTGGTGATCCCCCGAGAGAGTGGACATCAGAACTACATGTTCCTGGACTTCACCTCGGCCAGCGAAGGAGAGAGAGGGTTAATGTTAACTGCACGAGGCCCATTCTAGCCTTAAATTCTGTAATTCAAACCCTTCCCTTGGAGACAAAACAAACATGACAAGGAATTCTGAGGTCAGGGGACAAGAATCACAAAGTGGGAGACTGAGGAGGCAGTGTCCTTCCTGCCCTTGGTCTACTGGCTAAGAACCTTCCTCAGCCTGACCTTTGCACATTGCACTTTCAGCTCTGTTTGCAATTTTCCTCCTTTAGTGCTGAGGGAATCCCAGTGTTCCATTCTGAAATCTATAGGTTCCTAATGTGTGGTTAAAAAAAACCTCAGCGAGAGAAGCAGAAAATGTTTCCTCTTCCTGAAAAACTGTAGAAAGGCAGGCACCATTCTGGGTGAGGACATGGTCCTTGCAAATGTCTTTGTGTTTTTTTTTTTTTTTTTTGAGATGAAGTTTTGCTCTTGTTGCCCAGACTGGAGTGCAGTGGTGTGATCTCTGCTCATTGCAACCTCCGCCTCCTGGGTTCAAGCAGTTCTCCTACCTCAGCCTCCTGAGTAGCTGGAATTACAGGCACCTGCCACCACACCTGGCTAATTTTTTGTATTTTTAGTAGAGATGGGGTTTTGCCATGTTGGCCATGTTGGTCTCAAACTCCTGACCTCAAGTGAGCCACCCGCTTCTGCCTCCCAAAGTGCTGGGATTACAGGAGTGAGCCACCGCGTCCAGCCTGCAAACGTCTTTAAAGACAGCGTGTTTCAGAGGCTGTGACAGTGCCCTGTGAACATGCCAATTCTCACAGTCCCGGGAGCTCTGAGGAGCAGGCCCAGCTCCTTGCCAGGCTGATGGTACTGAAACTCTGCTCTCCAAGACATAACCTGATGGCCGTGCAAGATTTCTTAATCGACTGTGGACCGTGAGAGTCTGCATCTCATTTTAATTAAGATGGGAAAAGAAAGAACAAAAGAGCAACTCCCAGGTTATAGAGAAAGTGGATTTTAGTATAATATTCAAGTGTAGCATTGCTAATAATAACAAACCTTTCCCCTCCCAAACGGTAAACACTTGCACTGCCTATTATACAAAAATTCAACCACCCTCTCTGTTACCCCAATATCTCCTCCCCAGTGACCCCCCCCTCATGCGGCCTCCTGAGCCTGACCAGTGGTGAATGGCACTTTCATGGGCATGAGACTCCACGTGAGTGGGACTCAGCTGGGACCCCTCTCCACGTGGGAGCTGGGGAAGCCACCCTAGTAGCAGCTCAAAGTGTCCGTGATGTCCCTGCTGCTGAGGTAGGGGCTGCCTCTGAGCTGGTCTCGGGGTGTGAGCTGCTGCTGGTAGTAGGCTCTGCCCTGAGGGCCTGGTGGCTGGTCAGAAGGGCAGGCACACATGGGTGACTCCCCAGGAACTCAGGCCACCTCCCCACCACAGCCCTGCACTGTGTGCTCCAGGCATGTGCTGAGTGCCTGGTCAATCACCAGTGCCCTGTTGATCCCAGTCTCCAGAGAGAGCATTTAGTGTCACTCCACAGAGGGGGAAACTCGGCCCAGAGAAGTAAGGTGACTCTCTCCAGTCACAGAGCTGGTCAGCAGTAGGATGGGAGGCTAGTCCCTTGCTGTCTGACTCCCTGAGCCCACCCATATCCCAAGGCAGCCAACCTCTGCCCGCCCTGGTTCAGGCCCCGACTGGCCCCTGTGGTGGGTGATGTCTATCTTCCTGGCCTTTGTGCTCCCAGCCAACTGGGATGGAGCCTCCAGCTGGCATGACATGTTGTAGCTACGGACAGAAGAGTGGCTGTGAGGCTGCCAGGAATCTCACCAGGGCCCCCTCCCAGGGCCTGTCCAGAGTGAGGTCTGGGTACCCCAGGCATTGCCAGACCACAGGATCTGATGTTGGCCAAGAGGCCATGGCCACAGGCTTTCTGAGGCTGGCCCCCAGGGAGAGTTCAATCCTACTATCCCAATTCCTGTCCTGGCCTTACCTCTCAGTCTCACCGAGCCGCTTCGTGGTCCCAAACCAGGACCCAAAGTGCTGCTTGGGCTCAAGGTTGTAATTATTTGCAGTCAACTGGAGCAGTGGACCTCCTTGCTTACTTTGAATTCCTGGGTCCAGAGGGAAAAACTGGGTGGTGACAGGGACTGGACAGGGATGCCACAGGGGCCCTGTGGGGGTGTTAGATGGGGTGGTGGCCAGTCTTTGCTCATAGGGGACCCCCTCCTCCTCTCCAGTCCTGTCCCCACCTGTTCTCAGAGCTGGCTCAAACAGCAGCTCCTCCAGGAATGTGTCCTTGGTTTCAACCTGGTACTCCCACCTGCAGGTCTTCCTGGAGTGTCTCCTCTTTCTCTCTGTCTCCCCATAAATCTAAGATGAGGGGGATGGATCTGCCCACTGCTACTCACCGTATGACTCTTGTGAGGTTGATCAGTCTCCCCTGGAAGGCCAACAGCTGAAGTCCATCAGAAAGGGTCCTCTGGCCCAGAGCCAGCCCCTGCCCACCCCTGTCTTGCTGCACCCAGGGTGCAAGACCCAGATCAGGTCTGGGTGACAGGAGGGGTATAGAGGGGCTGAGGCTCAGGGGCCTTCTAGCCTAACTTGTCTGGAGACAGTTGGGGAAACTGAGACCCCAAGCAGGGAGGTATGGCTCCGAGAGATTATTCTCATTAATCTGGAACATTTTTGCAAGCTGTTAGGTATAGGAAGTCTGTCACAGGTAAGAGAAATGCTTTTTAAGAGCATGAGAGACAGCAGGGTTGTCACAATATTGAAACACCACCGTGCAGATTCACCAATTGCCACCACCGGGAGTCCCCTGAGAGTCATTGCAGATGCACAGCCCTCCCCTGCAACCCCTGGACCTCCCCGTGGTCTGGCACCTAAAGGGTTATGCCTCATGGCGGGAATCAGGGCCCTCAGGGTGCCCTGCCCACTCCAAGGTCTGCCTCTGCTCTGATTGGTCACTGACATTCAGATTGTCACCCAAATATAAGGACGTTAGCAGAAAGATTCATTCAATACAAGTGGACTCAGACATAGATAGGAATTGGGTTGCAAAAAGCCCCTTTTGTTTATTTTATTTTGGAAAAAACTTTTATTGTGAAAATTCACATATATATATATATATAAAAACTCAATCAATGCAAAAGGATAGACAATGAACAAATGAATTCCCCTTCCACTCCAGATCCCCAACTCAGATCCAGACCTCCTGAGCCCACTTCCCCCATCTCATCACAGATCCAGACCTCCTGAGCCCACTTTCCCCATCTCATCACAGATCCAGACCTCCCCCACTTTCCCCATCTCATCACAGATCCAGACCTCCTGAGCCCACTTTCCCCATCTCATCACAGATCCAGACCTCCCCCACTTTCCCCATCTCATCACAGATCCAGACCTCCTGAGCCCACTTCCCCATCTCATCACCAGTGATTTCTTGGGCTCTGCATTAGTTTTCTATTGCTGCTGCAACAAACAGCTACAGACTCAGTGGCTTCCATTTCTGTCTTATAGTTCTGGTTGCCAAAAGTCCTAAGAGGATCTCACTGGGCTAAAGTCAAGGTGCTGGTGGGGCTATGTCCCTTCTGGAGGCTCAAGGGATGAATCGGGTCCCTGCCTTTTCTAGCTTCTAGGGGCTCCAGCTTCTAGGTTTGTGGCCTCCTTCCTCCATCCTCAAAGCCAGCAACAGCAGGTGAAGTCCTCGCCCATCATGCATCACTCTCCCTTCTTCCTCCTTCAACTTTTTTTTTTATATTTAGGGGGAACGAGTACCGGATTCTTACATAGTCAAAAAGCTCCTTATAGAGAAGCTTGGAACTTTCAATACAACTTTGCCTTTTTTGCCATTTTAATTTTCCATTTAATTTAAATGTATTCTCTCATTTGACCTTCATACTCTGTGGAGAAATATTCCTATTTCGGCTTGTATTGACAAGCTGTTTTCACACAGCCCCCACATCACCCAACCAACCAGCAAGAAACAGATAAAGAAACTGAGGCCCAGGGAGGCTGAGTCCTGCCAGGATCATTCACCTTTCAAGGTAGGGAGCCAGTTCCAGACCTGGGTTTGTGCAGCTCCAAGCTCCCCCGTCTTTCTACAATGCTAGATTTAGACTATAGCAATCTAGCAAGTGTGGCCACACAATGGTCAAGTTGGATTTAGATGATGTTCCCTATAAATCCATTCTCCTCTCCCGTGTAAGCAAGGCAAAGTACTCCAGGCCATGGGGAGTCCCTGAAGACTCGATGAACTGCAGTGGCCACATCAGGAGGTTGCAGGTTGACCAGAACTCACCGACACAGCAGGAGAGCAGCTTGGAACCTGCAACCTAGCCAAAACCTAGTGCCTTGGACTGGGGGAGAAAACAGGCAGCCATTCCTCTCTCTCTGCTGGCTAGAGGGGATTCTGGCTTTTCCTGCCAGAGCCACCCCTTTCCCTCCTCCTAAAGTTGATGGTGGTTCTTTAAGGAAAGGGAGAAGTGCACGGTGTGATAGGGCAGGAAGAGAAGAAAATGGAGGAGAGGAGGGGACTTTCCCATAAGCAGGCAGAAGAAAAGGCAGCTGTGGTGTGTGATGGACATGGATGCAGTGGTGTCCAATGTGGGGTCAGCCCTAGATGAGAGACAGAGAGAGAGAGACAGAAAAGTGAGAGTCCTGACCCTTACGATTAACATGGGATCTGCCTGCAAATGCTGTTTAGGGCCATCGCCTCTTCCTGTACTGCTATTTTTGAGAGTGATGCTCCTGAGCCCCATGACCCAGTCAAATTTGATGTCCCCTCGAGCCAGATTCAGTGCTGGGAGTCCAGTGTGATCTGCCTGGATCTTGCTGCATTGAGAACAGGCCAGATCTTGACCCCAATACAGGGGCTGGATATGAACAGGCAACAGCTGGGTTTCTGAGTCAGAAAGACTTGGTTAATTGCTAATTGCTTAGGTGAGTAATTTAATTTTGTTGAGTCAGATTCTTCAGCTACAAAATGCAGATGACAGTACTTATTCCTCCAGGTTGTGGGGAAAATGGAGATTCTAAGCACGATGTCCATTTCACAGAAAGGTACCAATTTGGTGGCTTATTTTCCTTTCTACCTTCAGAAGTGGCTATCCCTGCCACCCAAACAGACCCTTGACTCTCAAGTGGACGGGGTCCCATTTGCACAGGGGGAGACCTTACAGCCTACGTTGAGTCTATACTTACCACTTAGTGAGCATTGTGTCCGCTCAGGGGCCTCTGTGGGCATCCGTCTCCTCTGCAGCATCTTTCCTCCCCACTGCTGGGTCTGCACATGACCCCCTCCTTGGGTTAGGCCTCTGATCAGTGATGACCTTGGTATGGTGGTGATGGTCAGTCTTGGCATCAAATGAGCCAGTTTATATCATCAGCTATTCAATAAAATACCAATCTAGGTGTCACCGTGAAAGTATTTTGTGACATTGTTATGTACGTGTTGTTACAAATGTGCATGATGCATTTACTACAGCATAGAATTTTGCCTGGGTGCCAGCCTGAAGTCTGTCCGACAGATCATAGCCATGTTAGTCCCACAGTCACAGGGGCCAATTGATTAAATTATTTTATCTCCCTTGAAAACTAAAAATAAAATCCTAAGCCCCCCACCCGACTTAACAGACCCCCTGTTGGCCAACGGAACCTCAAATAAATCTTAAAATTCAGTTCTTGGCCATGACAGGACAGGAGGTCAGACATACCTCCCTGTACCTCCCTCCCTCTTATGGTTTAGACCCCACAACTGAACAGCATTAATGTTAAAATAGAGATCATGAGACTGACAGAACAGACTCTTTGTGGCAATAAGACCTCAAATTATAAACAGGACCTAGGGCCATGCCAGGCGAGCGTTAAGTCTTGTAGCCTACTCTTAAAGAATTAACTAGATTCTAACTACCACGTGGGTTTTATTTTTCTCTAGCAACCAAGCAAGCACTGGCTGTGAGAGAAGCAAGATTAAAACAATTACAACTCACCCAGTTCACAGACGCTGAGTAACTGATCTCCTGCCCCACTAACCTTAATGACAGCTTTCTCTGGACAAGGGACTGATTTCAGTAACTTTCTCCTGATAAGAGACCATCCTCCATGGACTGGTTCTGGCCAGTTTTGGAGGCTGTGCCTGTACAGAGGCTGAGTACCTTCATGTCCCTGCTTCACTTTTTGATGTGTAGGGCCTAATTATAATACATTTAAATGTCAAGTCTCCACCCCAGAATGAACATGCATGTTTATTGAATATGCATTCATTAGGACCTCTTTTATGAGTATTCTCATAAAATGATATAGCTCCTCTGATATCCTATTGAGTATGTATATGTAGCCAACTCATTTGGCTCAAATTCCTGTCCTCTCCTTCCCTCCCTGGAAATGCCTGCCTCTGGCCTTGGCTGTAGGCCACACTTCCCAGCCTGTCATAATGGCCACCTTGCAGACTGCAAACCTATATAAGAAATAAAGCTCTCTTTTCTAAATTTATAAAATTGTGTGATTTTTTAGTTGATGCTCTCTTTCTACACACACACACACACACACACACACACACACACACGCAATTTATACAGAAGGAAATCTGGAGAATATATGTGGGAATGGATATTAAGTGTGTGGCACCATGGTGGAAGTAACATAAAGTTGGATTAGGCTAAATTTATTAATGTTGGCCCACTAAACAGAGATTCTGGACTCAGGGTTGTAGGTCAAAGCTTTAGAAAGGGCTCCAAGGGTTGGTTTGATCGGTTACTTGGTTGGTTGTTTGCTTGGTTGGTTGGTGCTTGCTTCCTTGCTTGGTTGTTTGGTTGGTTTGTTGCTTGCTTGCTTGTTGGTTGATTGGTTGGCTGTTTGCTTGTTTGGTGACTTGGTTGGTTGGCTGAAACAGAATCAGAGTTTACCTAAGGTACATAAAGTTGAGATGCCACAACTTCCTTGGTTTATGTGTACAGAAAGGTATGCAAAAACTCAGGGAGACTGGATTTATTATGTCAGACCTGCTCACTCACACTGGAGGGTCTACGGAACATACTCCTCACAACGATCATGAGAAAGAATATTGTGAGAGGAGCCCAGTATCCTGGAAGAGCTTTGAGCTTGTGCTCTCAGTAGGCAAAATGTTACAGCAGGAACTGCAGCCACTGGACTGGGATCTTTAAGTAAAATGAGGATAATTGAATCCTGGGGTGGCAGGGAACATGGGCTGTCCTTAATCACCAAAGATGAGGTGGGTGTGGTCACCACAGTGGAAAGCAGTGTCAAAGCAGCAGTCAGAATGGTTTGACTCACAGACACCCACGGCATTGTGTAGTCCATGGTATCCACAGGGAGAGCTAATGGGCTGTACCAAAGTCTTAGTTGTTCTTTAAAAAATGAAGAATTCTAGGTCAACTGAATAAAAGACTAACTCAAATTAATGAAACACAGTTCTAAAACCCTCAATCAATTCCCAGACTTGAGCCAGTTCACAGGCCCACAACCCCTTAAGTGAAGGGGAGGCTGGGTGATCTTGGGGAAGTACGCTGCTACGTTGCCAAAAATTTACATTGTTAATCTTTTTCCCAGTCTTCCCCAAAGGGACTTACAGCCTTCTGCCAGGATGACTGTGACTTAAAGAAAAGAAAATTCTCAGATATTTGGGGAATTACTGGACACTGGCTCTCATTTGACACTATTATCACTATGTTGCCTAGGATGGATTCATGCTCCTGGGTTCAAGCAGTCCTCCTACCTCAGCCTCCCAAAGTGCTGGGATTACAGACATGAGCCACTGTGGCCAGCAGAGCTTTGAAACTAGAACATGGAGGTCCAGTGGTAAAGATCTGACAAGTCTGGGAAGAGATGGGGCCAAGGCAATGTTGATGATTCTTTTTTTTTTTTTTTTTTTTTTTTACAACAGAGTCTTGTTCTGTTGTCTAGGCTGGAGTGCGATGGCGCGATCTCGGCTCACTGCAACCTCTGCCTCCGGGGTCCAAGCAATTCTCCTGCCTCAGCCTCCTGAGTAGCTGGGATTACAGGTGCCCACCACCACACCAGGCTAATTTTTTATTTTTTTGTGTTTTTTGAGACAGAGTCTCACTCTATATCGCCCAGGCTGGAGTGCAGTGGCGCAATCTGGGCTCACTGCAAACCCCGCCTCTCAGGTTCATGCCATTCTTCTGCCTCAGCCTCACGAGTAGCTGGGACTACAGGTGCCTGCCACCGTGCCTGGCTAATTTTTTGTATTTTTAGTAGAGACGGGGTTTCATTTCACCATGTTAGCCAGGATGGTCTTGATCTCCTGACCTCATGATCTGCCCGCCTCGGCCTCCCAAAGTGCTGGGATTACAGGGATGAGCCACCATGCCCAGCCACACCAAGCTAATTTTTGTATTTCTTTTTTTAGTTGAGACAGGGTTTCACCATGTTGGCCAGGCTGGTCCCTGACCTTGTGATCCACCCGCCTCGGCTTCCCAAAGTGCTGAGATGACAGGCATGAGCCACCCCGCCTGGCCAATGTTGATGATTCTAAACAGCAGCCGTTAATGTGAAAACCATCCAACTGGAAGCCCTGGCCTTGCCCAGAGGACACAGTCTGGGTGGTGGGCAGAGACTTCAGCTGCCTTCCAAGGCAAGCAGCTCCTTGCTGCCCGCTTGCTGGGGATTTTACTTACAGGGCCGAAGCTGGCAGGTGATTTGGGGGCAGGAATTGCTTCCTGGATGGTATAGGATGAACCACACTCCCCAGGAAGGCACTCATCCTGGTGGCCTAACAGAAGCAGCCCTCACCCCAAAAGGCAATGCTGCTCCACTAGTTTTATGGGGTGACTCCTTCCTGTAGGTTCCTTCCAGCTTTACCAGAAACACAGAACATCTTTCCTGACAGGGCATTGGTTTTGTTTTTGAACAGAGAGATCCTTCTTTTAAAAAGTTAGTTTTTTGTTTTCTTTTGTTTTGTTTTTTGTAATGGAATCAACCTAGGTCCTAAGCCTAGCAGGTTGTTATTATTATTTTTATGATTATTTTTTGAGATGGAGTCCCACTCTGTGGTCCAGGCTGGAGGGCAGTGGCACGATCTCAGCTCACTGCAATGTCTGCCTCCTGGGTTCAAGAGATTCTCCTGCCTCAACCTACAGAGGAGCCAGGATTACAGGCATGCACCACCATGCCCGGCTAATTTTTGTACTTTTAGTAGAGATAGGGTTTTGCCATGTTGGCCAGGCTGATCTCAAACTCCTGACCTCAGGCGATCCACCCACCTCAGCCTCCCAAACTGCTGAGAATACAGGTGTGAGCTGCCATACCCAGCCACAGGTTATTTTTGCTGATCTTCTCCCTCCTCCCACCCTCAAAGAAAACGCGGTACATCTACACCATGGACTACTACGCAACCCTGAAAAGGAACAAAATCACGGTTGTTGTTTTTTTTTTTTTTCTTTTTCTTTTTTTTTTTTTTTGCAGCAACATGGATGTAGCTGGAGGCCATTATCTTTTTTAATTATTTTTATTATTTTTTTTCTATTCTACTTTAAGTTCTGGGGTATATGTGCAGAATGTGCAGGATTGTTACATAGATATACATGTGCCATAGCGGTTTGCTGCACCCATCAACCCATCATCTACATTAGATATTTCTCATAATGCTGTCCCTTTCCCAGTCCCCCACCCCTGCAGTAGGCCCCAGTGTGTGATGTTCCCCTCTCTGGGTTGATGTGTTCTCATTGTTCACTTCCCACTTATGAGTGAGAACATGCACTGTTTGGTTTTCTGCTCCTGTGTCACTTTGCTGAACATGAGGGTTTCCAGCTTCATCCATGTCCCTGCAAAGGACATGAACTCATCTTTTTCATGGCTGCATAGTATTCCACAGTGTCTATGTGCTACATTTTCTTTATCCAGTCTATCACTGATGAGCATTTGGGTTGGTTCCACATCTTTGCTATTGTGAACAGTGTGGAGGCCATTATCTTAAGTAAATTAATAGAATGCTGCGTGTTCTCACTTATAAGTGGGAGCTAAATGTTGTGTATATGTAGACACAGAGAAGGGAACAGATATTGGGGTCTAGTTAGGGGGAGAGAGGAAGGTAGAAGGACAAGAGTTGAAAAAACCAACTGTGGGGTATTATGCTCACTACCTGGGTGATGGGATCACTCATACCCCAGACCTCAGCATCACACATCGTACCCATGTAAGAAACCTGTACATGTACCTCCTGAATCCAAACTGCTCCACCATTTGCACCAGCAATTCCAAGACTGGGCATCTACCCAAAGGAAAAGAAGTCATTCTACCAAAAAGACACATGCATGGTAAAGTTCCTTTTTTTTGTTTGTTTTTTGAGATGGAGTCTCACTCTATTTCCCATGCTGGAGTGCAGTAGCAATCTCGGCTCACTGCAACCTCTGCCTCCAGGGTTCAAGTGATTCTCCTGCCTCAGCCTCTTGAGCAGCTGGGATTACAGGCATGCGCCACCATGCCTGGCTAATTTTTGTATTTTTAGTAGAGACAGGGTTTCACCATATTGACCAGGCTGGTCTCGAACTCCTGACCTCAGGTGATCTGCCCACCTTGGCCCTCCAGAGTGCTGGGATTACAGTGCCTGGCCCTGTAAGGTTCATCACAGCACGACTTACAATAGGAAAGTCATGGAATCAACCTAGTTGCCCATCAGTGGGGTACCAGATAAAGCAAAAGTGGTTCTTCTACAGCATCGAATACTACACAGCCATGAAAAAGAATAAAATCATGTCCTTTGCGGCCACATGGATGTAGCTGGAGGGCATTATGCTTAATGAATTAACACAAGAACAGAAAATCAAATACCACATGTTCTTGTCTGGATAAAGCAATTGTGGCCCTTCTACACCATGGAATACTACACAGCCACGAAAAAGAATAATGTCATGTCCTTTGCAGCCACATGGACACAGCTGAAGGACATTATGCTTAGTGAATTAATGCCAGGAACAGAAAATGAAATACTACATGTTCTCAACTGGATAAAGCAAATGTGGCCCTTCTACACCACGGAATACTACACAGTGATGAAAAAAATAAAATCATGTCTTTGCAGCCACATGGATGCAGCCAGAGGGCATTATGCTTAGTGAATCAATATGAGGAACAGAAAATCAAATACCACATGTTCTGCACTAGATAAAGCAAATGTGGTCCTTCTGCATCATGGAATACTACACAGCCATGAACAAGAATAAAATCATGCCCTTTGCAGCAACGTGGATGAAGCTGAAGGGCATTATGCTTAGTGAATTAATGCCAGAAACAGAAAATCAAATACCACATGTTCTCAATTAGATAAAGTAAATGTGGTCCTTCCGCATCATGGAATACTACACAGCCATGAACAAGAATAAAATCATGTCCTTTGCAGTCACATGGATGAAGCTGAAGGGCACTATGCTTAGTGAATTAACGCCAGGAACAGAAAATAAAATACCACATGTTTTTGCTTATAGGTGGGAGCTAAACATTGCCTGCACCTGGACACAATGAAGGGGCACCACAGACCCTCAGGACTAATAGAGTAGGAAGCAGGGGCGGGGGTACAAGGGTTGAAAAACTACCCTGAGATTCTTTGAATTTCAGGCAGAAGGCAGCAACTGGAGAGATCTTTGGGTCACGGATTTTTCTGTTGCATTTTCTTGCTTGTTTGTTTTCTATCTCTCTCTCTCTCTTTTTTTTTTTCTTTTTTTTGAGATGGAGTCTCACTCTGTGACCCAGGCTGGAGTGCAGTGGTGCAATCTCGGCTCCCTGCAACTTCTGCCTCCTGGATTCAAGCAATTCTTCTACCTCAGCCTCCCAAGTAGCTGGGACTACAGGCACCTGCCACCACACCTGGCTAATTTTTGTATTTTTAGCAGAGACGGGGTTTCACCATGTTGGCCAGGCTGGTCTCGAACTCCTGACCTCAGGTGATCTGCCTGCCTTGGCCTCCCAAAGTGCTGGGATTACAGGCATGAGCCACTGCACCTGGCCCTCTTCTTATATATTTCTAGAACTCCTCTCGAATTTGGGGTTTGTTTTTCTTAATTACAAGGAATCAAGTTGAATCATTAGTGCATATATAAATATACATTTTATTTTTAGTACACATTATATACCTCAGGAATGTACAATGCTCAGCGCCTGGGTGACGGGATTATTCATACCCCAAACCTCAGCATCGTACAATATCCCCAGGACACAAAGCTGCCCGTGGATCCCCTGAATCTATAATAATAATAATTAATAATAATAATAATAATAAATAAAAAGTGACTTTGTCATTCGCAGGGAAATGTGAATGACATTCACTCTGCCTCTCAGGCCCTTGGATTCCCAAAGTTTGTTTTCGTCACGCCCAGGGGACACTCAGAATGTCGTTTGCCGAACACGGGTTGTTTTTCTTAGAAACGCCTTGCAAAACAAAATAGGAAGCAAAATCTTTCTCACTCCTTCCACTCCATAATAGACAAAATAAAATGAGGGGGCAGGAATCCAGAGACTTTGACCACAGTTGGCAGATTTATTGTGGTACAGACATGAAGGCAAGCAGTGTTCTCTCTGATTCTACGAACCGTACAGCCCGGGCCAGCTGCCTTCTGCTTTCTGGATGGTGCAGGTGTGAGCTCCAAGCCCAAATTTCACTGGAGCTCCAAGAATCGAGCCTGGCCCAGGCACTCACTGCACGGGGGCCAAGCGTGAAACCAGTGATCTCTCCAGCAAGGTAACAGGACAGCTTGGTGATCCTTCTTGCCGGCCACAAAAGGTTATAGCCAGAATTCCACCGAATGTGGTCTTTCTGTGTCTCTCCCCAGATAGTGAAGCTGCACAAACCTGGGGGTGGGGGGTGGGGGGTGCTGACCTCAGTGGGGTGTCCTGGAGAGGCAGGAACCAGGGTTTACAGGGTGCAGATCCTACTGAAGCAAATGGACGTGGCATCCGTGGGCAGAGCTGGCTGTGGCTGGCCTTCCAGCCTGGATGTCTCCACCCCCCCCGCCTGGGGTGTCACCAGATGCACCCAGAGACCCCTTCTAAACCTGGGGGGATGTGCTGACCTCAGTGGGGTTTCCTGGAGAGGCAGGAAGCTGGGTTTCCAGGGTACATATCCTACTGAAGCAAATGGACGTGGCATCCTTGGGCAGAGCTGGCTGTGGCTGGCCTTCTAGCCTAGCTTGGACGTCTCCCCCACTGCCTGGGGTGTCACCAAATGCACCCAGAGACCTCTCTTCTGAAAGCCCATTCATGGGAAGCCTCCAGGTCTCCTCAGCAGGCAGCATCACGTCTGATTTCACTGCGTTATCAGGTAATGCAGGCCTGTTCTACCTGTGTGCGTGAGCGCGTGTGTGCCGTGTGGGAGTGTGTGTGTTGATGTGGGTGTGGGTGTGTGCTTGTGTGGCTGTGTGTGTGTGCCTGTTTATGTGATGATGAGTGTGTCTGTGAGTCTGTAAGACAACGTGTGTTTCCATGCGTGTTTCTGTGTGAGCGTGCATTCCTGTGTTTTATGGAAGTGTGTTTTTGTGATGGTGTTTTTGTGTGCCCCTGCGTTTATCGTATTTGTGTGTTTGTGAATATGAGTGTATGTGTGTGAATCTGTATGGCAATGTATAAATTCTTTTTTTTTTTTTTTGAGACGGAGTCTCGCTCTGTCACCCATACTGGAGTGCAAAGGCACAATCTCAGCTCACAGCAACCTCCGCCTCCCGGGTTCAAACGATTCTTCTGCCTCAGCCTCCTGAGTACCTGGGATTACAGGCACCCACCACCACATCTGGCTAATTTTTCTTTTTTGATACGGAGTCTCGTTCTGTCGCCCAGGCTGGAGTGCAGTGGTGTGATCTTGGCTCACTGCAACCTCTGCCTCCCGGGTTCAAATGATTCTCCTGCCTCAGCCTCCTGAGTAGCTGGGATTACAGGCATAAGCCACCACATCTGGCTAATTTTTGTATTTTTGAGTAGAGATGGGGTTTCACCATGTTGGCCAGGCTGGTCTGGAACTCCCGACCTCAAGTTATCTGCCCGCCTCGGCCTCCCAAAGTTCTGGGAGTACAGGCGTGAGCCACCTTGCCCGGCCCCAGTGTGTGAATTTTTATGTTTGTGTGTCTACATGATTATGTGAGTCTTTTTGTGACTGTGTTTCCATGAGTGTGTGACTGTATTTATGTGTTTGTGTGTGCTTGTGTGATTCTGAGTGTGTCTATGAGTGTGTATGACATATGTGAGTGTCTGTGTGGGTGAGTAGCCATCCACGCGTTTATATGAGAGTGTTTTCATGATTCTGTTTATGAGTGACTTTGTATGTATACGTGTTTGTGTGCTTTGTGAGAATGTCAATGTGCATGTGCACCCACGTGTGCAAAAAACCCACACATTTTTGTAATTGTGTTTGTGTGTGTGTCCCTGCATTTGTGTGAGTGTGCATGTCTTCGTGTGTCCATGTGTTTCTATGAGTGTGTTTTGTGATTCTGTCTGTCTTTGTGTTGATGTGTGTTTGTGTAAGTGTGTGGTTGCATTTGTGTCAGTGATTCTGGAGCAGGTGAGCTGATCACAAGTCTGAGCCGAGAATCCATGGAGCTCATTTACAACAGAAGCTGGGACCCTGTGCAAATCCTTCTGAAATATCCCCGGTTTACAGAGCTCCTAGGGGTGGGGAAGAAAAATTCCCTGACTTTTCGGCCTCAGGGAAAGAGAGAGACACCCCGCTGGCCGTACACCTCTGCTGTTTCTCAGAAAACAGGTGGGGTATCACTCTTTCCCAAATGACGGTGATTTTAAGAAGGGTTCACCTTTTGAAGAGACGTTTCTGCCCTGGCGATCCATACATATTGAACCCAAATGAATATTTTTTAATTAAAAATTTTTATATAAATATACATTGTGCATATTTTATATTAATATATTGATATAAATATATTTTATTAATATAAACATGATTTTTATAGTTCATATAAATAAAGTTATATATAGTGTATATGTAAAATATACTTTTATTTGTGATACATAATTTTATAGATTAAATTTTATATACTAAGCAAAGTTATATGTGATATATACATGCCATATAACATCATTTATATAATATATCTTTATGTAAATAAGTATATAATAAAATTGATCTTATATTTGTTAATACATAATTATGTATATATACTATGTAAAAATAAAATTATATATTGTATGTGCATAATTATATTTCTATAAATACACGCTTATGTGTGTATTTATACATGAATGCCTGTGTTTGTGTGAGTACATCAGTGAGTGTGTGAATGTGTGTGTGTGCATGTGTGCCTGTGTTTGTGTGAGTGTAAGAGTGTTGTACATTTATACACACACATTTTGTTTTCTGGTTAATAACAAGATCTATCTTTGATTTAGGATATGAAGAATTCTTATAAGCAACCCCACACACAAAATTTGTATTTATTTTAAAATATTCTTAAAATATGGGTTCTTTTATTTTTGCACAAACAGACAAGAGTGTTTTTTCTTTCCAAAACTTTTATTTCAAATTCTGACCCTGAGGAGCAGAAAAAGAAGAAAACATTGTGTAACCTTATATACTTTAGAAACATAAGTAGTTACTAAATGCAATACAGATTTTGACAACATGCATTTAGGAAAAATGAGGAATTCAAACTCGTAGCTGCCTCAATATTGAACTTTCTAAAGTTTAATTCTTTTTAATTAAAAAATATTCATTTGGGTTCAATATGTATGGATCTCCAGGGCAGAAATGTCTCTCCAAAAAGTGAACCACTCTGAAAATCACCGTCATTTGGGAAAGGGTGATGCCCCAGCTGTCTTCTGAAAAATAGCAGAGGCTTCCGGCCAGTGGGGTGTCTCTCTCTTTCCCTGAGGCCGAAATGTCAGGGAATTTTTCTTCCCCACCCCTAGGAGCCCAGTAAATGGAGAATATTTCAGAAGGATTTGCACAGGGTCCCGGCTTCTGCTATTTATGAGCTCCATGGATTCTTGGCTCAGGCTTGTGATCAGCTCACCTGCTCCAGAATCACTTCCCATCTTAGCTTCTGGGCTAAGACACCTCAAAACCAGCAAAGGAAAGTCCTCACTGGTCAACGCGTCCATCCCAACTCCCCCATCTCCCCTTAGGGTGGGTTTGGGGTTCGGGACTGCTTTACTGTTCCTTTCAAAGCAGACTGGGAGGTAAGATTTTATTCTGCTTCCAGAGGTTCAGGATTTCTGCAGACGGTCAGCAACTCTTTGCATCCTACTGGTAAAAGTTTTATATACTTTGTATTTATAGAAATACGCATTGTGTATATTTTATATGAATAGATTGATATAAATTATTTTAGTAACTTAACCATATGACTTTTATATTTTTATAAAAATAAAGTTATATGTAGTGTATATGTAAAATACTTTTATTTCTAATATATAATTTTATAGATTAAATTTAATATATTAAGCAAATACTTTTATTTCTAATACATAATTTTATAGATTAAATTTAATATATTAAGCAAAAATATATGTAACATATATAATATATAACATCATTTATATAATATATAACTTAATGTAAATAAGTATATAAAATTGATATTATATTTGTTAATACATAATTATACATATATACCGTGTAAAAATAAAATTACATATTGTATATGCATAATTATATTTCTATAAGTACAATTATATACTATGTATAATTATGTATAAAATAATTGTATAATAAAATTATATAATAAATTTTGAAATGTTATAAATTATTATACATAGTATTTTATTGTATTAAATTTAGAAATGTGTTATATGTAATAAAATGTTATTATAATAAATGTAGATTATATAAAATCTTATTTATAATAAATTACCTTATGTATAATTATAATATGAGAAAATAATTATATATCATTGTATTATAATAAATTTAGAGATGTTATACATTATTATATATAAAATTTCATTATATTAAATTTAGAAATATATGTAATAAAATGGTATTATGTTAAAATTTTTATGTAACATTTTATTATACATATATAATTTTATACAATGTTTTATAATATATAGAATATAAGTACACAGAATATAAGTACAAAAATATTTATATACAGCTACACGTAATATAAATACATCAGTGTAAGATGTTTTGTGTGTGTGAGATGGAGTCTCGCTCTGTTGCCCAGTCTGGAGTGCAGCAACACGATCTCGGCTCACTGCAACCTCTGCCTCCTGGGTTCAAGCGATTCTCCTGCCTCAGCCTCCCGAGTAGCTGGGATTACAGGCATGCACCACCACACCCAATCAATTTTTGTATTTTTAGTAGAGATGGGGTTTCACTGTGTTAGCCAGGATGGTCTCAAACTCCTGACCTCAGGTGATCCACCCGCCTCGGCCTCCCAAAGTGCTGGGATTACAGGCATGAGCCACAGTGTAAGATACTAGCTATTAAAAAATAAATATATATATATACTGCAACAGCTGATTTGTCTGGAAGAGTTTGGTCAGAAGACAGTGTATTAAGAAGACTGTGAGTCCCCAGAGGAATATAAGAATATACATCATGTTGATATATTATATATAACATAAATAGCTAACTACATCTGTGTATATAGTATAAACAAAAGTACAAAAATATTTGTATATAACTATATGTAATATAAATATATCAGTGTAAGATATTAGCTATTAATATATATATATATATATATAGAGAGAGAGAGAGAGAGAGAGCAACCGGTGATTTGTCTGGAATATTCTAGTCAGAAGACAGTGTATTAAGAAGACAGTGAGTCCCCAGGAGAATACAAGAATGTGCATCATGTTAATATATTATATATAACATAAATACCTAACAACATCTGTATATATAGTATAAACTTAAAGTACAAAAATATTAGTATATTACTATATGTAATATAAATATATCAGTGTAAGATATTAGCTATTAAAATATACATATGTGTGTATATATGTGTATATGTGTATATAAATATTATATATATATATATAGTAACCGCTGATTTGTGTGGAAGACTTTGGTCAGAAGACAGTGTATTAAGAAGACAGTGGGTCCTCACAGGAAAATAAGAATATACATCATGTTTATATTATATATAACATAAACAACTAATTACATCTGTATATACAGCATAAACATAAAGTACAAAAATATTTGTATATAATCGTATGAAATATAAATATACCAGTGTAAGATATTAGCTATTAAAATATACATGTGTGTATGTATGTGTATATGTGTACATATAATATATATACATATATAACATATATAATATATAAGATATAGCATAATAATATAATATATTATATATAATATGTAATATGTAACATATATTATATAATTAATATATAATATATAATATATTCTATGCTATATAATATATAATATATTCTATGCAATAAAATATATAGCATATATATATATAGCAACAGCTGATTTGTCTGGAAGAATTTGGTCAGAAGACAGTGTATTAAGAAGACAGTGAGTCCCCAGAGAAATATAAGAATATACATCATGTTTATATTATATATAACATAAATAGCTAACTACATCTGTATATATAGCATAAACATAAAGCACAAAATTATTTATATATAATATAAATATATCAGTGTAAGATATTAGCTATTAAAAAATATATATATATATAGCAACCGGTGATTTGTCTGGAAGACTGGTCAGAAGACAGTGTATTAGGAAGACAGGCAGTCTCCGCAGGAAGCATGGTGCAGGTGGGATCTGGAGGTGACTCTGGGCTGCCAGAAGACGCCCCACTGCTTTGCGGCAGACACAGGTGGAGAGGTCCTCTCTGTAGCTTCAGCATGGACAGTGTGTGTGTCTTGCTGTGGGAACACTTCTTTCTGCTTCCCTCTCCACTGTGACCCCATCACACTCACTGACCTGCCCTCCTCCTTCCTCTCGCTCTCCGGGGCCCCTGTGGAAAGAGGGTCTTCCCTCCGTGCAGCAGGAACCCCCAGGACCATCCCCATGCTCCTGGGTTCTGAACTTCAGGGACATATGATCCTACCTGACCGGGCACAGGCTCTGTTCACCCTCAGGAACCCCTGTCCTCCCAGGCCACTGTGGACTGGAGAACTGGCCTCCTGAAAATCCAGAGAGAACTTAGCACTCACAACTTCTTTCTTTTTTTCTTTTTTCTTTGAGACTGGATCTTGCTCTTTTCCCCAGGCTGGAGTGCAATGGCATGATCTCAGCTCACTGCAACCTCCTCCTCCCAGGTTCAAGCAGTTCATCCCGCCTCTGTCTCCCGAGTATCTGGGATCACAGTCATCCACCCCCGCGGCCAACTAATTTCTGTATTTTTAGTAGAGACGGGGTTTCACCATGTTGGCCAGGCTGGTCTCGAACTCTTGACCTCAAGTGATCCACCCGCCTCGGCCTCCCAAAGTACTGGGATGACATATATTAGCATGATGTATATTCTTCTATTCCTCCGGGGACTCACTGTCTTCTTGGGCAGTAAACCACTGTGCCCGGACTTCTCTGTCCACATCTGCACACATCTAAACCTCTGTAGATTCTGAGTTGTTTTTCCTTTTGCACAGAATGAGAGGAACTGAAGTCGGGAGGCCCAGCCCCAACACGGTCCCTGTGGCTCTGTGCTCAGGTGGTTTATGGCTGAGAAGGACTTGGGGGGTTGAGGGCTTCCTATCAGCCCAGGAGACATTACCTGGGTCTGGGAAGCCTGCTCTGCACTTGTGGGTCTCGAATTGTCTGTTGCATTTACCTGCCTCATTATTTTTTCTTCCTGTCTCTCTTCTTACATATTTCTTTCGAATTTGGAGCTTGTTTTTCTTAACTACAATCAACTTGAATCATTACTGCATATATAAATATAAATTTTATATTGAGTAGACATTATATACTCAATCTACTACACATTCCAACACGGGCCATATCTAAGACGAATATTTATATTTAATGTTTAAAATATGATTACATTTCATATAGAAAAATATATTTATATTTAATATATATGTGTATATTTAATACAGGAAATATATATTTATATTTAACATATAAAAATATATGTTTATATTTAATATGGGAAATATATGTCTTTGTTTAATATACATAATACATGTTGATATTTAATATA
Organism: Homo sapiens; assembly: GCF_000001405.40. NCBI lineage: Eukaryota > Metazoa > Chordata > Mammalia > Primates > Hominidae > Homo > Homo sapiens. The sequence goes on along the minus strand of NC_000002.12, from coordinate 91,529,311 downwards.
GAAAATGTATAGATATATTTACTATGCAAAATACATGTTTATATTTAATATAGAAAATATGTTTATATTTAATGTACAGGATACATATTTACATTTAATATAGAAAATACATATTTATATTTAACATACACAGTATTTATATTTAATGTATAAAATATGTTTACATTTAATGTGCTGAATATATGCTTATATTTAATGTCTAAAATGTCTATATTTAATGTACTGTATACATTAAATATACCAAATGTATTCTTATATTTAATGTATAAAAGAAGTTTATATTTAACATATAAGATATGTTTACATTTAATGTATAAAATGTTTATGTTTGATGTATAAAAGATGTTTATATTTAACGTATACAATTTATATTTAATGTACCAAATATATTATTATATTTAATGTCCAAGCCAGCCAAGCCAGTCAGCCAAGCCAGCTAAGCCACCCACCCAGCCAAGCCAGCCAAGTGAGCCAGCTAGCCAGCCAGCCAAGCCAGCCAAACCAGCCAAGCCAGTCAGCCAGCCAAGCCAGCCAAGCCAGCCAGCCAGCCAAGCCAGCCAAGCCTGCCAGCCAGCCAAGCCAGCCAAGCCAGCCAGCCAGCCAAGCCAGCCAAGCCTGCCAGCCAGCCAAGCCAGCCAAGCAAGCCAGCCAGCCAAACCAGCCAGCCACCCCAGGAGCACCAGCCAGCCAGCCAACCCAAACAGCCAAGCCAGCCAAGCCAGCCAGCCAGCCAAGCCAGCCAAGGCAGCCAAGACATCCAAGCCAGCCAGGGAGCCAAGCAAGCCAAGCCAGCCAGCCAGACAAGGCAGCCAAGCCAGCAGGCCAAGCCAGCCAGCTAGCCAGCCAAGCCAGCCAAGCCAGACAGCCAGCAAAGCCAGCCCAGCCAGCCAGCCAGCCAGCCAGCCGAGCCGGCCAAGCCAGACAGTGAGCCCAGCCAGCCCAGCCAGTCAGCCAGCCAAACCAGCCAGCCAGCCAAGCCAGCCAGCCACCCAGCCAAGCCAGCCACCCAGCAAAGCCAGCCAAGAGACCCAAGCCAGCCAGCAAAGCTGGCCAAACCAGCCAAGCCAGTGAGCCAAGCCAGCCAAGCCGGCCACCCAGCCAAGCCAGCCAAGCCAGCCAACCAGCCAGACAGCCCAGCCAGACAGCCAGCCCAGGCAGCCAAGAGACCCAAGCCAGCCAGCGAAGCTGGCCAACCCAGCCAAGCCAGTCAGCCAAGTCAGCCAAGCCGGCCACCCAGCCAAGCCAGCCAAGCCAGCCAACCAGCCAGACAGCCCAGCCAGACAGCCAGCCCAGGCAGCCAAACCAGACAAGCCAGCGAGCCAAGCCAGCCAAGCCAGCCAGCCAGCCAAGCCAGCCAAGCCAGCTAGCCAGCCCAGACAGCCAAGCCAGCCAACTAGCCAAGCCTCCCAGCCAGCCAAGCCAGCAAAGCCACCCAGCCAGCCAAGCCAGCCAAGCCGCCCACCCAAGCCGCCCAGCCAGCCAAGCCAGCCAAGCCACCCAGCTAGCCAGGCCAGCCACCCAGCCAGTGAGCCAAGCCAGCCAAGCCAGCCAGGCAGCCAAGCCAGCCAAGCCAGCCAAGCCAGCCAGCCAGCCAGCCAAGCCAGGCATGCCAACCAAGCCATCAAGTCAGCGAAGCCGGCCGGCTAGCCAAGCCAGCCAAGCCACCCAGCCAGCCAAGCCAGCCAGCCAACCCAGCCAAGCCAGCCAACCAGCCAAGACAGTCAGCTAGCCAAGCCAGCCAACCAAGCCAGCCAGACAGCCAAGCCAGCCAAGCCGGCCTGGCAGCCAAGCCAGCCAAGCCACCAACCCAGCCAAGCCACCCGGCCAGCCAAGACAGCCAAGCCAGCCAAACCAGTCTGCCAGCCAAGCCAGCCAAGACATCCAGCCTGCCAAGCCAGCTAGCCAGCCAAGCTAGCCAATCCACTCACCCACTCAAGCCAGCCAAGTCACGCGGACAGCCAAGCCAGCCAAGCCAGCCAGCCAGCCCAGACAGCCAAGCCAGCCAGCCCAGACAGCCAAGCAAGCCAAGCCAGCCAAGCCACACAGCCAGCCAAGCCACCCAGCCAGACAAGACAGCCAGCAAGCCAGCCAGACAGCCAAGTCACCCAGCCACCCAGCCAGCCAGGCCAGCCAGCCACCCAGCCAGCCAGGCCAGCCAGCCATCCAGCCAGCCAGGCCAGCCTGCCACCCAGCCAGCCAAGCCAGACAAGCCAGCCAAGACAGCCAGCCACCCAGCCAGTCAGGCCAGCCAGCAACGCAGCCAGCCCAGACAGCCAAGTCAGCCAGCCAGACAAGGCAACCAAGCCAGCCAACCAAACAAGAGAGCCAGCCAACGAAGCCAGCCAAACCAGCCAGCTAGCCAAGCCACCCAGCCAGCCAGCCAGCCAAACCAGCCAAGCCACCCAGCCAGCCAAGCCAGCCAAGCCAATCAGCCAGCCAGGCAGCCAGCCACCCAAGCCAGCCAAGCCAGCCAAGCCATCAAAGTCAGCCAGCCAGCCAGCCAGCCAAGCCAGCCAAGCCTCCCAACCAGCCAAGCCAGCCAAGCCACCCAGCCAGCCAAGCCAGCCAAGCCACCTAGCCAGCCAGGCCCGCCAGCCAGCCAGCCAGCTAGCCAAGCCAGCCAAGCCAGCCAGGCAGCCAAGCCAGCCAAGCCAGTCAAGCCCGCCAGCCAGCCAAGACAGGCATGCCAGCCAAGCCAGCCAGGCAGCCAAGCCAGCCAAGCCAGGCAGCAAGCAAAGCCAGGCAGGCCAGCCAAGCCAGCTAGGCAGCCAAGCCAGCAAAACCAGCCAGCCAGCCAAGCCAGGCATGCCAGCCAAGCCATCCAGCCGGCTAAGCCAGCTGGCCAGCCAAGCCAGACAAGCCACCCGGCCATCCAAGCCAGCCAGCCAAGCCAGCCAAGCCAGCCAAGCCAGCCAAGTCAGTCAGCCAGCCAGCCAGCCAAGACAGCCAAGCCTCCCAGCCAGCAAAACCAACCAAGCCACCCAGCCAGCCCAGCCAGCCAAGCCACTTAGCCAGCCAGGCCCACCAGCCAGCCAGCCAGCGAGCCAAGCCACCCAAGCCAGCCAGCCTGCCAAGCCAGCCGGCCAGCCAAGCTAGGCAATCCACTGAGCCACTCAAGCCAGCCAAGTCACCCGACCATCCAAGCCAGCCAAGCCAGTCAGCCAGCCCAGACAGCCAAGCCAGCCAAGCCAGCCAAGCCAGCCAAGCCCGCCAACCAGCCAAGACAGGCATGCTAGCCAAGCCAGCCAGGCAGCCAAGCCAGCCAGGCAGCCAAGCCAGCCAAGCCAGCCAGCAAGCAAAGCCAGGCATGTCAGCCAAGCCAGCTAGGCAGCCAAGCCAGCCAGCCAGCCAAGCCAGGCATGCCAGCCAAGCCATCCAGCCAACTAAGCCAGCCGGCTAGCCAAGCCAGCCAAGCCAGCCAACCAGCCAAGCCAGCCAGCTAGCCAAGCTACCCAGCCAGCCTGCTAGCCAAACCAGCCAAGCCACCCAGCCAGCCAAGCCACCCAGCAAGCCAAGCCAGCCAAGCCCATCAGCCAGCCAGGCAGCCAGCCACCCAAGCCAGCCAAGCCAGCCAAGCCAGCCAGCCACCCAGCCACCCAGCCAGCCAAGCCTCCCAGACAGCCAAGCCAGCCAAGCCTCCCAGCCAGCCAAGCCAGCCAAGCCACCCAGCCAGCCAAGCCAGCCAAGCCACCTAGCCAGCCAGGCCCGCCAGCCAGCCAGCCAGCTAGCCAAGCCAGCCAAGCCAGCCAGGCAGCCAAGCCAGCCAAGCCAGTCAAGCCCGCCAGCCAGCCAAGACAGGCATGCCAGCCAAGCCAGCCAGGCAGCCAAGCCAGCCAAGCCAGGCAGCAAGCAAAGCCAGGCAGGCCAGCCAAGCCAGCTAGGCAGCCAAGCCAGAAAAACCAGCCAGCCAGCCAAGCCAGGCATGCCAGCCAAGCCATCCCCCCGGCTAAGCCAGCTAGCCAGCCAAGCCAGACAAGCCACCCGGCCATCCAAGCCAGCCAGCCAAGCCAGCCAAGCCAGCCAAGTCAGTCAGCCAGCCAGCCAGCCAAGCCAGCCAAGCCTCCCAGCCAGCAAAACCAGCCAAGCCACCCAGCCAGCCAAGCCAGCCAAGCCACCTAGCCAGCCAGGCCCGCCAGCCAGCCAGCCAGCCAGCCAGCGAGCCAAGCCAGCCAAGCCAGCCAGCCTGCCAAGCCAGCCGGCCAGCCAAGCTAGGCAATCCTCTCAGCCACTCAAGCCAGCCAAGTCACCCGAACATCCAAGCCAGCCAAGCCAGTCAGCCAGCCCAGACAGCCAAGCCAGCCAAGCCCGCCAACCAGCCAAGACAGGCATGCTAGCCAAGCCAGCCAGGCAGCCAAGCCAGGCAGGCAGCCAAGCCAGCCAAGCCAGCCAGCAAGCAAAGCCAGGCATGTCAGCCAAGCCAGCCAGGCAGCCAAGCCAGCCACGCCAGCCAGCCAGCCAAGCCAGGCATGCCAGCCAAGCCATCCAGCCAACTAAGCCAGCCGGCTAGCCAAGCCAGCCAAGCCAGCCAACCAGCCAAGCCAGCCGGCTAGCCAAGCTACCCAGCCAGCCAGCTAGCCAAACCAGCCAAGCCACCCAGCCAGCCAAGCCACCCAGCCAGCCAAGCCAGCCAAGCCCATCAGCCAGCCAGGCAGCCAGCCACCCAAGCCAGCCAAGCCAGCCAGCCACCCAGCCAGCCAAGCCTCCCAGCCAGCCAAGCCAGCCAAGCCTCCCAGCCAGCCAAGCAAGCCAAGCCACCAAGCCAGCCAAGCCAGCCAAGCCACCTAGCCAGCCAGGCCCGCCACCAAGCCAGCCAGCTAGCCAAGCCAGCCAAGCCAGCCAGGCAGCCAAGCCAGCCAAGCCAGTCAAGCCCGCCAGCCAGCCAAGACAGGCATGCCAGCCAAGCCAGCCAGGCAGCCAAGCCAGCCAAGCCAGGCAGCAAGCAAAGCCAGGCAGGCCAGCCAAGCCAGCTAGGCAGCCAAGCCAGCAAAACCAGCCAGCCAGCCAAGCCAGGCATGCCAGCCAAGCCATCCAGCCGGCTAAGCCAGCTGGCCAGCCAAGCCAGACAAGCCACCCGGCCATCCAAGCCAGCCAGCCAAGCCAGCCAAGCCAGCCAAGCCAGCCAAGTCAGTCAACCAGCCAGCCAGCCAAGCCAGCCAAGCCTCCCAGCCAGCAAAACCATCCAAGCCACCCAGCCAGCCAAGCCAGCCAAGCCACCTAGCCAGCCAGGCCTGCCAACCAGCCAGCCAGCCAGCCAAGCCAGCCAAGCCAGCCAGCCTGCCAAGCCAGCCGGCCAGCCAAGCTAGGCAATCCACTCAGCCACTCAAGCCAGCCAAGTCACCCGACCATCCAAGCCAACCAAGCCAGTCAGCCAGCCCAGACAGCCAAGCCAGCCAAGCCAGCCAAGCCAGCCAAGCCCGCCAACCAGCCAAGACAGGAATGCTAGCCAAGCCAGCCAGGCAGCCAAGCCAGCCAGGCAGCCAAGCCAGCCAAGCCAGCCAGCAAGCAAAGCCAGGCATGTCAGCCAAGCCAGCCAGGCAGCCAAGCCAGCCAAGCCAGCCAGCCAGCCAAGCCAGGCATGCCAGCCAAGCCATCCAGCCAACTAAGCCAGCCGGCTAGCCAAGCCAGCCAAGCCAGCCAACCAGCCAAGCCAGCCAGCTAGCCAAGCTACCCAGCCAGCAAGCTAGCCAAACCAGCCAAGCCACCCAGCCAGCCAAGCCACCCAGCCAGCCAAGCCGGCCAAGCCAATCAGCCAGCCAGGCAGCCAGCCACCCAAGCCAGCCAAGCCAGCCAAGCCAGCCAAGCCAGCCAGCCACCCAGCCAGCCAAGCCTCCCAGCCAGCCAAGCCAGCCAAGCCTCCCAGCCAGCCAAGCCAGCCAAGCCACCCAGCCAGCCAAGCCAGCCAAGCCACCTAGCCAGCCAGGCCCGCCAGCCAGCCAGCCAGCTAGCCAAGCCAGCCAAGCCAGCCAGGCAGCCAAGCCAGCCAAGCCAGTCAAGCCCGCCAGCCAGCCAAGACAGGCATGCCAGCCAAGCCAGCCAGGCAGCCAAGCCAGCCAAGCCAGGCAGCAAGCAAAGCCAGGCAGGCCAGCCAAGCCAGCTAGGCAGCCAAGCCAGAAAAACCAGCCAGCCAGCCAAGCCAGGCATGCCAGCCAAGCCATCCAGCCGGCTAAGCCAGCTGGCCAGCCAAGCCAGACAAGCCACCGGGCCATCCAAGCCAGCCAGCCAAGCCAGCCAAGCCAGCCAAGTCAGTCAGCCAGCCAGCCAGCCAAGCCAGCCAAGCCTCACAGCCTGCAAAACCAGCCAAGCCACCCAGCCAGCCAAGCCAGCCAAGCCACTTAGCCAGCCAGGCCCGCCAGCCAGCCAGCCAGCGAGCCAAGCCAGCCAAGCCAGCCAGCCTGCCAAGCCAGCCGGCCAGCCAAGCTAGGCAATCCACTGAGCCACTCAAGCCAGCCAAGTCACCCGACCATCCAAGCCAGCCAAGCCAGTCAGCCAGCCCAGACAGCCAAGCCAGCCAAGCCAGCCAAGCCAGCCAAGCCCGCCAACCAGCCAAGACAGGCATGGTAGCCAAGCCAGCCAGACAGCCAAGCCAGCCAGGCAGCCAAGCCAGCCAAGCCAGCCAGCAAGCAAAGCCAGGCATGTGAGCCAAGCCAGCTAGGCAGCCAAGCCAGCCAGCCAGCCAAGCCAGGCATGCCAGCCAAGCCATCCAGCCAACTAAGCCAGCCGGCTAGCCAAGCCAGCCAAGCCAGCCAACCAGCCAAGCCAGCCAGCTAGCCAAGCTACCCAGCCAGCCAGCTAGCCAAACCAGCCAAGCCACCCAGCCAGCCAAGCCACCCAGCCAGCCAAGCCAGCCAAGCCCATCAGCCAGCCAGGCAGCCAGCCACCCAAGCCAGCCAAGCCAGCCAAGCCAGCCAGCCACCCAGCCAGCCAAGCCTCCCAGCCAGCCAAGCCAGCCAAGCCTCCCAGCCAGCCAAGCCAGCCAAGCCACCCAGCCAGCCAAGCCAGCCAAGCCACCTAGCCAGCCAGGCCCGCCAGCCAGCCAGCCAGCTAGCCAAGCCAGCCAAGCCAGCCAGGCAGCCAAGCCAGCCAAGCCAGTCAAGCCCGCCAGCCAGCCAAGACAGGCATGCAAGCCAAGCCAGCCAGGCAGCCAAGCCAGCCAAGCCAGGCAGCAAGCAAAGCCAGGCAGGCCAGCCAAGCCAGCTAGGCAGCCAAGCCAGAAAAACCAGCCAGCCAGCCAAGCCAGGCATGCCAGCCAAGCCATCCAGGCGGCTAAGCCAGCTGGCCAGCCAAGCCAGACAAGCCACCCGGCCATCCAAGCCAGCCAGCCAAGCCAGCCAAGCCAGCCAAGTCAGTCAGCCAGCCAGCCAGCCAAGCCAGCCAAGCCTCCCAGCCAGCAAAACCAGCCAAGCCACCCAGCCAGCCAAGCCAGCCAAGCCACCTAGCCAGCCAGGCCCGCCAGCCAGCCAGCCAGCCAGCCAGCGAGCCAAGCCAGCCAAGCCAGCCAGCCTGCCAAGCCAGCCGGCCAGCCAAGCTAGGCAATCCTCTCAGCCACTCAAGCCAGCCAAGTCACCCGAACATCCAAGCCAGCCAAGCCAGTCAGCCAGCCCAGACAGCCAAGCCAGCCAAGCCAGCCAAGCCAGCCAAGCCCGCCAACCAGCCAAGACAGGCATGCTAGCCAAGCCAGCCAGGCAGCCAAGCCAGGCAGGCAGCCAAGCCAGCCAAGCCAGCCAGCAAGCAAAGCCAGGCATGTCAGCCAAGCCAGCCAGGCAGCCAAGCCAGCCACGCCAGCCAGCCAGCCAAGCCAGGCATGCCAGCCAAGCCATCCAGCCAACTAAGCCAGCCGGCTAGCCAAGCCAGCCAAGCCAGCCAACCAGCCAAGCCAGCCGGCTAGCCAAGCTACCCAGCCAGCCAGCTAGCCAAACCAGCCAAGCCACCTAGCCAGCCAAGCCAGCCAAGCCAGCCAGGCAGCCAAGCCAGCCAAGCCAGTCAAGCCCGCCAGGCAGCCAAGACAGGCATGCCAGCCAAGCCAGCCAGGCAGCCAAGCCAGCCAAGCCAGGCAGCAAGCAAAGCCAGGCAGGCCAGCCAAGCCAGCTAGGCAGCCAAGCCAGAAAAACCAGCCAGCCAGCCAAGCCAGGCATGCCAGCCAAGCCATCCCCCCGGCTAAGCCAGCTGGCCAGCCAAGCCAGACAAGCCACCCGGCCATCCAAGCCAGCCAGCCAAGCCAGCCAAGCCAGCCAAGTCAGTCAGCCAGCCAGCCAGCCAAGCCAGCCAAGCCTCCCAGCCAGCAAAACCAGCCAAGCCACCCAGCCAGCCAAGCCAGCCAAGCCACCTAGCCAGCCAGGCCCGCCAGCCAGCCAGCCAGCCAGCCAGCGAGCCAAGCCAGCCAAGCCAGCCAGCCTGCCAAGCCAGCCGGCCAGCCAAGCTAGGCAATCCACTCAGCCACTCAAGCCAGCCAAGTCACCCGAACATCCAAGCCAGCCAAGCCAGTCAGCCAGCCCAGACAGCCAAGCCAGCCAAGCCAGCCAAGCCAGCCAACCAGCCAAGCCAGCCGGCTAGCCAAGCTACCCAGCCAGCCAGCTAGCCAAACCAGCCAAGCCACCCAGCCAGCCAAGCCAGCCAAGCCCATCAGCCAGCCAGGCAGCCAGCCACCCAAGCCAGCCAAGCCAGCAAAGCCAGGCAAGCCAGCCAGCCACCCAGCCAGCCAAGCCTCCCAGCCAGCCAAGCCAGCCAAGCCTCCCAGCCAGCCAAGCAAGCCAAGCCACCCAGCCAGCCAAGCCAGCCAAGCCACCTAGCCAGCCAGGCCCGCCAGCCAGCCAGCCAGCTAGCCAAGCCAGCCAAGCCAGCCAGGCAGCCAAGCCAGCCAAGCCAGTCAAGCCCGCCAGCCAGCCAAGACAGGCATGCCAGCCAAGCCAGCCAGGCAGCCAAGCCAGCCAAGCCAGGCAGCAAGCAAAGCCAGGCAGGCCAGCCAAGCCAGCTAGGCAGCCAAGCCAGCAAAACCAGCCAGCCAGCCAAGCCAGGCATGCCAGCCAAGCCATCCAGCCGGCTAAGCCAGCTGGCCAGCCAAGCCAGACAAGCCACCCGGCCATCCAAGCCAGCCAGCCAAGCCAGCCAAGCCAGCCAAGCCAGCCAAGTCAGTCAACCAGCCAGCCAGCCAAGCCAGCCAAGCCTCCCAGCCAGCAAAACCAGCCAAGCCACCCAGCCAGCCAAGCCAGCCAGCCTGCCAAGCCAGCCGGCCAGCCAAGCTAGGCAATCCACTGAGCCACTCAAGCCAGCCAAGTCACCCGACCATCCAAGCCAGCCAAGCCAGTCAGCCAGCCCAGACAGCCAAGCCAGCCAAGCCAGCCAAGCCAGCCAAGCCCGCCAACCAGCCAAGACAGGCATGCTAGCCAAGCCAGCCAGACAGCCAAGCCAGCCAGGCAGCCAAGCCAGCCAAGCCAGCCAGCAAGCAAAGCCAGGCATGTCAGCCAAGCCAGCTAGGCAGCCAAGCCAGCCACGCCAGCCAAGCCAGGCATGCCAGCCAAGCCATCCAGCCAACTAAGCCAGCCGGCTAGCCAAGCCAGCCAAGCCAGCCAACCAGCCAAGCCAGCCAGCTAGCCAAGCTACCCAGCCAGCCAGCTAGCCAAACCAGCCAAGCCACCCAGCCAGCCAAGCCACCCAGCCAGCCAAGCCAGCCAAGCCCATCAGCCAGCCAGGCAGCCAGCCACCCAAGCCAGCCAAGCCAGCCAAGCCAGCCAGCCACCCAGCCAGCGAAGCCTCCCAGCCAGCCAAGCCAGCCAAGCCTCACAGCCAGCCAAGCCAGACAAGCCACCCAGCCAGCCAAGCCAGCCAAGCCACCTAGCCAGCCAGGCCCGCCAGCCAGCCAGCCAGCTAGCCAAGCCAGCCAAGCCAGCCAGGCAGCCAAGCCAGCCAAGCCAGTCAAGCCCGCCAGCCAGCCAAGACAGGCATGCCAGCCAAGCCAGCCAGGCAGCCAAGCCAGCCAAGCCAGGCAGCAAGCAAAGCCAGGCAGGCCAGCCAAGCCAGCCAGGCAGCCAAGCCAGCAAAACCAGCCAGCCAGCCAAGCCAGGCATGCCAGCCAAGCCATCCAGGCGGCTAAGCCAGCTGGCCAGCCAAGCCAGACAAGCCACCCGGCCATCCAAGCCAGCCAGCCAAGCCAGCCAAGCCAGCCAAGTCAGTCAGCCAGCCAAGCCAGGCATGCCAGCCAAGCCATCCAGCCAACTAAGCCAGCCGGCTAGCCAAGCCAGCCAAGCCAGCCAACCAGCCAAGCCAGCCAGCTAGCCAAGCTACCCAGCCAGCCAGCTAGCCAAACCAGCCAAGCCACCCAGCCAGCCAAGCCAGCCAAGCCAAACAGCCAGCCAGGCAGCCAGCCACCCAAGCCAGCCAAGCCAGCCAGCCACCCAGCCAGCCAAGCCAGCCAAGCCACCTAGCCAGCCAGGACCGCCAGCCAGCCAGCCAGCTAGCCAAGCCAGCCAAGCCAGCCAGGCAGCCAGCCACCCAAGCCAGCCAAGGCAGCAAAGCCAGCCAAGCCAGCCAGCCACCCAGCCAGCCAAGCCAGCCAAGCCACCCAGCCAGCCAAGCCAGCCAAGCCTCCCAGCCAGCCAAGCCAGCCAAGCCACCCAGCCAGCCAAGCCAGCCAAGCCTCCCAGCCAGCCAAGCCAGCCAAGCCTGCCAGCCAGCCAAGCCAGCCAAGCCACCTAGCCAGCCAAGCCCGCCAGCCAGCCAGCCATCTAGCGAAGCCAGCCAAGCCAGCCAGGCAGCCAAGCCAGCCAAGCCAGTCAAGCCCGCCAGCCAGCCAAGCCTCCCAGCCAGCCAAGCCAGCCAAGCCACCCAGCCAGCCAAGCCAGCCAAGCCACCCAGCCAGCCAAGCCAGCCAAGCCACCTAGCCAGCCAGGCCCGCCAGCCAGCCAGCCAGCTAGCCAAGCCAGCCAGCAAGCAAAATCAGGCATGTCAGCCAAGCCAGCCAGCCAGCCAAGCCAGGCATGCCAGCCAAGCCATCCAGCCAACTAAGCCAGCCGGCTAGCCAAGCCAGCCAAGCCAGCCAACCAGCCAAGCCAGCCAGCTAGCCAAGCTACCCAGCCAGCAAGCTAGCCAAACCAGCCAAGCCACCCAGCCAGCCAAGCCAGCCAAGACAATCAGCCAGCCAGGCAGCCAGCCACCCAAGCCAGCCAAGCCAGCCAAGCCAGCCAAGCCAGCCAGCCACCCAGCCAGCCAAGCCAGCCAAGCCACCCAGCCAGCCAAGCCAGCCAAGCCTCCCAGCCAGCCAAGCCAGCCAAGCCACCCAGTCAGCCAAGCCAGCCAAGCCACCTAGCCAGCCAGGCCCGCCAGCCAGCCAGCCAGCTAGCCAAGCCAGCCAAGCCAGCCAGGCAGCCAAGCCAGCCAAGCCAGTCAAGCCTGCCAGCCAGCCAAGACAGGCATGCCAGCCAAGCCAGCCAGGCAGCCAAGCCAGCCAAGCCAGGCAGCAAGCAAAGCCAGGCAGGCCAGCCAAGCCAGCCAGGCAGCCAAGCCAGCAAAACCAGCCAGCCAGCCAAGCCAGGCATGCCAGCCAAGCCATCCAGCCGGCTAAGCCAGCTGGCCAGCCAAGCCAGAGAAGCCACCCGGCCATCCAAGCCAGCCAGCCAAGCCAGCCAAGCCAGCCAAGTCAGTCAGCCAGCCAGCCAGCCAAGCCAGCCAAGCCTCCCAGCCAGCAAAACCAGCCAAGCCACCCAGCCAGCCAAGCCAGCCAAGCCACCTAGCCAGCCAGGCCCGCCAGCCAGCCAGCCAGCGAGCCAAGCCAGCCAAGCCAGCCAGCCTGCCAAGCCAGCCGGCCAGCCAAGCTAGGCAATCCACTCAGCCACTCAAGCCAGCCAAGTCACCCGACCATCCAAGCCAGCCAAGCCAGTCAGCCAGCCCAGACAGCCAAGCCAGCCAAGCCAGCCAAGCCAGCCAAGCCCGCCAACCAGCCAAGACAGGCATGCTAGCCAAGCCAGCCAGGCAGCCAAGCCAGCCAAGCCAGCCAGCAAGCAAAGCCAGGCATGTCAGCCAAGCCAGCCAGGCAGCCAAGCCAGCCAAGCCAGCCAGCCAGCCAAGCCAGGCATGCCAGCCAAGCCATCCAGCCAACTAAGCCAGCCGGCTAGCCAAGCCAGCCAAGCCAGCCAACCAGCCAAGCCAGCCAGCTAGCCAAGCTACCCAGCCAGCCAGCTAGCCAAGCCAGCCAAGCCAGCCAGGCAGCCAAGCCAGCCAAGCCAGTCAAGCCCGCCAGCCAGCCAAGACAGGCATGCCAGCCAAGCCAGCCAGGCAGCCAAGCCAGCCAAGCCAGGCAGCAAGCAAAGCCAGGCAGGCCAGCCAAGCCAGCCAGGCAGCCAAGCCAGCAAAACCAGCCAGCCAGCCAAGCCAGGCATGCCAGCCAAGCCATCCAGCCGGGTAAGCCAGCTGGCCAGCCAAGCCAGACAAGCCACCCGGCCAGCCAGCCAAGCCAGCCAAGCCAGCCAAGCCGGCCAAGTCAGTCAAGCAGCCAGCCAGCCAAGCCAGCCAAGCCTCCCAGCCAGCAAAACCAGCCAAGCCACCCAGCCAGCCAAGCCAGCCAAGCCACCTAGCCAGCCAGGCCCGCCAGCCAGCCAGCCAGCGAGCCAAGCCAGCCAAGCCAGCCAGCCTGCCAAGCCAGCCGGCCAGCCAAGCTAGGCAAACCACTCAGCCACTCAAGCCAGCCAAGTCACCCGACCATCCAAGCCAGCCAAGCCAGTCAGCCAGCCCAGACAGCCAAGCCAGCCAAGCCAGCCAAGCCAGCCAAGCCCGCCAACCAGCCAAGACAGGCATGCTAGCCAAGCCAGCCAGGCAGCCAAGCCAGCCAGGCAGCCAAGCCAGCCAAGCCAGCCAGCAAGCAAAATCAGGCATGTCAGCCAAGCCAGCCAGGCAGCCAAGCCAGCCACGCCAGCCAGCCAGCCAAGCCAGGCATGCCAGCCAAGCCATCCAGCCAACTAAGCCAGCCGGCTAGCCAAGCCAGCCAAGCCAGCCAACCAGCCAAGCCAGCCAGCTAGCCAAGCTACCCAGCCAGCCAGCTAGCCAAGCCAGCCAAGCCACCCAGCCAGCCAAGCCACCCAGCCAGCCAAGCCAGCCAAGCCTCCCAGCCAGCCAAGCCAGCCAAGCCACCCAGCCAGCCAAGCCAGCCAAGCCTCCCAGCCAGCAAAGCCAGCCAAGCCTCCCAGCCAGCCAAGCCAGCCAAGCCACCTAGCCAGCCAGGACCGCCAGCCAGCCAGCCAGCTAGCCAAGCCAGCCAAGCCAGCCAGGCAGCCAAGCCAGCCAAGCCAGTCAAGCCCGCCAGCCAGCCAAGACAGGCATGCCAGCCAAGCTAGCCAGGCAGCCAAGCCAGCCAAGCCAGGCAGCAAGCAAAGCCAGGCAGGCCAGCCAAGCCAGCTAGACAGCCAAGCCAGAAAAACCAGCCAGCCAGCCAAGCCAGGCATGCCAGCCAAGCCATCCAGCCGGCTAAGCCAGCTGGCCAGCCAAGCCAGACAAGCCACCCGGCCATCCAAGCCAGCCAGCCAAACCAGCCAAGCCAGCCAAGCCAGCCAAGTCAGTCAGCCAGCCAGCCAGCCAAGACAGACAAGCCTCCCAGCCAGCAAAACCAGCCAAGCCACCCAGCCAGCCAAGCCAGCCAAGCCACCTAGCCAGCCAGGCCCGCCAGCCAGCCAGCCAGCGAGCCAAGCCAGCCAAGCCAGCCAGCCTGCCAAGCCAGCCGGCCAGCCAAGCTAGGCAATCCACTCAGCCACTCAAGCCAGCCAAGTCACCCGACCGTCCAAGCCAGCCAAGCCAGTCAGCCAGCCCAGACAGCCAAGCCAGCCAAGCCAGCCAAGCCAGTCAAGCCCGCCAACCAGCCAAGACAGGCATGCTAGCCAAGCCAGCCAGGCAGCCAAGCCAGCCAAGCCAGCCAGCAAGCAAAGCCAGGCATGTCAGCCAAGCCAGCCAGGCAGCCAAGCCAGCCAAGCCAGCCAGCCAGCCAAGCCAGGCATGCCAGCCAAGCCATCCAGCCAACTAAGCCAGCCGGCTAGCCAAGCCAGCCAAGCCAGCCAACCAGCCAAGCCACCCAGCCAGCCAAGCCAGCCAAGCCACCTAGCCAGCCAGGCCCGCCAGCCAGCCAGCCAGCTAGCCAAGCCAGCCAAGCCAGCCAGGCAGCCAAGCCAGCCAAGCCAGTCAAGCCCGCCCGCCAGCCAAGACAGGCATGCCAGCCAAGCCAGCCAGGCAGCCAAGCCAGCCAAGCCAGGCAGCAAGCAAAGCCAGGCAGGCCAGCCAAGCCAGCTAGGCAGCCAAGCCAGCAAAACCAGCCAGCCAGCCAAGCCAGGCATGCCAGCCAAGCCATCCAGCCGGCTAAGCCAGCTGGCCAGCCAAGCCAGACAAGCCACCCGGCCATCCAAGCCAGCCAGCCAAGCCAGCCAAGCCAGCCAGCCAGCCAAGCCAGGCATGCCAGCCAAGCCATCCAGCCAACTAAGCCAGCCGGCTAGCCAAGCCAGCCAAGGCAGCCAACCAGCCAAGCCAGCCAGCTAGCCAAGCTACCCAGCCAGCCAGCTAGCCAAACCAGCCAAGCCACCCAGCCAGCCAAGCCACCCAGCCAGCCAAGCCAGCCAAGCCAATCAGCCAGCCAGGCAGCCAGCCACCCAAGCCAGCCAAGCCAGCCAAGCCAGCCAAGCCAGCCAGCCACCCAGCCAGCCAAGCCTCCCAGACAGCCAAGCCAGCCAAGCCTCCCAGCCAGCCAAGCCAGCCAAGCCACCCAGCCAGCCAAGCCAGCCAAGCCACCTAGCCAGCCAGGCCCGCCAGCCAGCCAGCCAGCTAGCCAAGCCAGCCAAGCCAGCCAGGCAGCCAAGCCAGCCAAGCCAGTCAAGCCCGCCAGCCAGCCAAGACAGGCATGCCAGCCAAGCCAGCCAGGCAGCCAAGCCAGCCAAGCCAGGCAGCAAGCAAAGCCAGGCAGGCCAGCTAAGCCAGCCCGGCAGCCAAGCCAGCAAAACCAGCCAGCCAGCCAAGCCAGGCATGCCAGCCAAGCCATCCAGCCGGCTAAGCCAGCTGGCCAGCCTAGCCAGACAAGCCACCCGGCCATCCAAGCCAGCCAGCCAAGCCAGCCAAGCCAGCCAAGTCAGTCAGCCAGCCAGCCAGCCAAGCCAGCCAAGCCTCACAGCCAGCAAAACCAGCCAAGCCACCCAGCCAGCCAAGCCAGCCAAGCCACCTAGCCAGCCAGGCCCGCCAGCCAGCCAGCCAGCCAGCCAGCGAGCCAAGCCAGCCAAGCCAGCCAGCCTGCCAAGCCAGCCGGCCAGCCAAGCTAGGCAATCCACTCAGCCACTCAAGCCAGCCAAGTCACCCGACCATCCAAGCCAGCCAAGCCAGTCAGCCAGCCCAGACAGCCAAGCCAGCCAAGGCAGCCAAGCCAGCCAAGCCCGCCAACCAGCCAAGACAGGCATGCTAGCCAAGCCAGCCAGGCAGCCAAGCCAGCCAAGCCAGCCAGCCAGCCAAGCCAGACATGCCAGCCAAGCCATCCAGCCAACTAAGCCAGCCGGCTAGCCAAGCCAGCCAAGCCAGCCAACCAGCCAAGCCAGCCAGCTAGCCAAGCTACCCAGCCAGCCAGCTAGCCAAACCAGCCAAGCCACCCAGCCAGCCAAGCCACCCAGCCAGCCAACCAGCCAAGCCAATCAGCCAGCCAGGCAGCCAGCCACCCAAGCCAGCCAAGCCAGCCAAGCCAGCCAAGCCAGCCAGCCACCCAGCCAGCCAAGCCTCCCAGACAGCCAAGCCAGCCAAGCCTCCCTGCCAGCCAAGCCAGCCAAGCCACCCAGCCAGCCAAGCCAGCCAAGCCACCTAGCCAGCCAGGCCCGCCAGTCAGCCAGCCAGCCAGGTAGCCAAGCCAGCCAAGCCAGCCAGGCAGCCAAGCCAGCCAAGCCAGTCAAGCCCGCCAGCCAGCCAAGACAGGCATGCCAGCCAAGCCAGCCAGGCAGCCAAGCCAGCCAAGCCAGGCAGCAAGCAAAGCCAGGCAGGCCAGCCAAGCCAGCCAGGCAGCCAAGCCAGCAAAACCAGCCAGCCAGCCAAGCCAGGCATGCCAGCCAAGCCATCCAGCCGGCTAAGCCAGCTGGCCAGCCAAACCAGACAAGCCACCCGGCCATCCAAGCCAGCCAGCCAAGCCAGCCAAGCCAGCCAAGTCAGTCAGCCAGCCAGCCAGCCAAGCCAGCCAAGCCTCACAGCCAGCAAAACCAGCCAAGCCACCCAGCCAGCCAAGCCAGCCAAGCCACCTAGCCAGCCAGGCCCGCCAGCCAGCCAGCCAGCCAGCCAGCGAGCCAAGCCAGCCAAGCCAGCCAGCCTGCCAAGCCAGCCGGCCAGCCAAGCTAGGCAATCCACTCAGCCACTCAAGCCAGCCAAGTCACCCGACCATCCAAGCCAGCCAAGCCAATCAGCCAGCCCAGACAGCCAAGCCAGCCAAGCCAGCCAAGCCAGCCAAGCCCGCCAACCAGCCAAGACAGGCATGCTAGCCAAGCCAGCCAGGCAGCCAAGCCAGCCAAGCCAGCCAGCAAGCAAAGCCAGGCATGTCAGCCAAGCCAGCCAGGCAGCCAAGCCAGCCAAGCCAGCCAGCCAGCCAAGCCAGGCATGCCAGCCAAGCCATCCAGCCAACTAAGCCAGCCGGCTGGCCAAGCCAGCCAAGCCAGCCAACCAGCCAAGCCAGCCAGCTAGCCAAGCTACCCAGCCAGCCAGCTAGCCAAGCCAGCCAAGCCACCCAGCCAGCCAAGCCACCCAGCCAGCCAAGCCAGACAAGCCAATCAGCCAGCCAGGCAGCCAGCCACCCAAGCCAGCCAAGCCAGCCAAACCAGCCAAGCCAGCCAGCCACCCAGCCAGCCAAGCCAGCCAAGCCACCCAGCCAGCCAAGCCAGCCAAGCCTCCCAGCCAGCCAAGCCAGCCAAGCCACCTAGCCAGCCAGGCCCGCCAGCCAGCCAGCCAGCTAGCCAAGCCAGCCAAGCCAGCCAGGCAGCCAAGCCAGCCAAGCCAGTCAAGCCCGCCCGGCAGCCAAGACAGGCATGCCAGCCAAGCCAGCCAGGCAGCCAAGCCAGCCAAGCCAGGCAGCAAGCAAAGCCAGGCAGGCCAGCCAAGCCAGCTAGGCAGCCAAGCCAGCAAAACCAGCCAGCCAGCCAAGCCAGGCATGCCAGCCAAGCCATCCAGCCGGCTAAGCCAGCTGGCCAGCCAAGCCAGACAAGCCACCCGGCCATCCAAGCCAGCCAGCCAAGCCAGCCAAGCCAGCCAAGCCAGCCAAGTCAGTCAGCCAGCCAGCCAGCCAAGACAGCCAAGCCTCCCAGCCAGCAAAACCAGCCAAGCCACCCAGCCAGCCAAGCCAGCCAAGCCACCTAGCCAGCCAGGCCCGCCAGCCAGCCAGCCAGCGAGCCAAGCCAGCCAAGCCAGCCAGCCTGCCAAGCCAGCCGGCCAGCCAAGCTAGGCAATCCACTCAGCCACTCAAGCCAGCCAAGTCACCCGACCATCCAAGCCAGCCAAGCCAGTCAGCCAGCCCAGATAGCCAAGCCAGCCAAGCCAGCCAAGCCAGCCAAGCCCGCCAACCAGCCAAGACAGGCATGCTAGCCAAGCCAGCCAGGCAGCCAAGCCAGCCAAGCCAGCCAGCAAGCAAAGCCAGGCATGTCAGCCAAGCCAGCCAGGCAGCCAAGCCAGCCAAGCCAGCCAGCCAGCCAAGCCAGGCATGCCAGCCAAGCCATCCAGCCAACTTAGCCAGCCGGCTAGCCAAGCCAGCCAAGCCAGCCAACCAGCCAAGCCAGCCAGCTAGCCAAGCTACCCAGCCAGCCAGCTAGCCAAACCAGCCAAGCCACCCAGCCAGCCAAGCCACCCAGCCAGCCAAGCCAGCCAAGACAATCAGCCAGCCAGGCAGCCAGCCACCCAAGCCAGCCAAGCCAGCCTAGCCAGCCAAGCCAGCCAGCCACCCAGCCAGCCAAGCCTCCCAGACAGCCAAGCCAGCCAAGCCTCCCAGCCAGCCAAGCCAGCCAAGCCACCCAGCCAGCCAAGCCTGCCAAGCCACCTAGCCAGCCAGGCCCGCCAGCCAGCCAGCCAGCTAGCCAAGCCAGCCAAGCCAGCCAGGCAGCCAAGCCAGCCAAGCCAGTCAAGCCCGCCAGCCAGGCAAGACAGGCATGCCAGCCAAGCCAGCCAGGCAGCCAAGCCAGCCAAGCCAGGCAGCAAGCAAAGCCAGGCAGGCCAGCCAAGCCAGCCAGGCAGCCAAGCCAGCAAAACCAGCCAGCCAGCCAAGCCAGGCATGCCAGCCAAGCCATCCAGCCGGCTAAGCCAGCTGGCCAGCCAAACCAGACAAGCCACCCGGCCATCCAAGCCAGCCAGCCAAGCCAGCCAAGCCAGCCAAGTCAGTCAGCCAGCCAGCCAGCCAAGCCAGCCAAGCCTCCCAGCCAGCAAAACCAGCCAAGCCACCCAGCCAGCCAAGCCAGCCAAGCCACCTAGCCAGCCAGGCCCGCCAGCCAGCCAGCCAGCGAGCCAAGCCAGCCAAGCCAGCCAGCCTGCCAAGCCAGCCGGCCAGCCAAGCTAGGCAATCCACTCAGCCACTCAAGCCAGCCAAGTCACCCGACCATCCAAGCCAGCCAAGCCAGTCAGCCAGCCCAGACAGCCAAGCCAGCCAAGCCAGCCAAGCCAGCCAAGCCCGCCAACCAGCCAAGACAGGCATGCTAGCCAAGCCAGCCAGGCAGCCAAGCCAGCCAAGCCAGCCAGCAAGCAAAGCCAGGCATGTCAGCCAAGCCAGCCAGGCAGCCAAGCCAGCCAAGCCAGCCAGCCAGCCAAGCCAGGCATGCCAGCCAAGCCATCCAGCCAACTAAGCCAGCCGGCTAGCCAAGCCAGCCAAGCCAGCCAACCAGCCAAGCCAGCCAGCTAGCCAAGCTACCCAGCCAGCCAGCTAGCCAAGCCAGCCAAGCCAGCCAGGCAGCCAAGCCAGCCAAGCCAGTCAAGCCCGCCAGCCAGCCAAGACAGGCATGCCAGCCAAGCTAGCCAGGCAGCCAAGCCAGCCAAGCCAGGCAGCAAGCAAAGCCAGGCAGGCCAGCCAAGCCAGCTAGACAGCCAAGCCAGAAAAACCAGCCAGCCAGCCAAGCCAGGCATGCCAGCCAAGCCATCCAGCCGGCTAAGCCAGCTGGCCAGCCAAGCCAGACAAGCCACCCGGCCATCCAAGCCAGCCAGCCAAACCAGCCAAGCCAGCCAAGCCAGCCAAGTCAGTCAGCCAGCCAGCCAGCCAAGACAGACAAGCCTCCCAGCCAGCAAAACCAGCCAAGCCACCCAGCCAGCCAAGCCAGCCAAGCCACCTAGCCAGCCAGGCCCGCCAGCCAGCCAGCCAGCGAGCCAAGCCAGCCAAGCCAGCCAGCCTGCCAAGCCAGCCGGCCAGCCAAGCTAGGCAATCCACTCAGCCACTCAAGCCAGCCAAGTCACCCGACCGTCCAAGCCAGCCAAGCCAGTCAGCCAGCCCAGACAGCCAAGCCAGCCAAGCCAGCCAAGCCAGTCAAGCCCACCAACCAGCCAAGACAGGCATGCTAGCCAAGCCAGCCAGGCAGCCAAGCCAGCCAAGCCAGCCAGCAAGCAAAGCCAGGCATGTCAGCCAAGCCAGCCAGGCAGCCAAGCCAGCCAAGCCAGCCAGCCAGCCAAGCCAGGCATGCCAGCCAAGCCATCCAGCCAACTAAGCCAGCCGGCTAGCCAAGCCAGCCAAGCCAGCCAACCAGCCAAGCCAGCCAGCTAGCCAAGCTACCCAGCCAGCAAGCTAGCCAAACCAGCCAAGCCACCCAGCCAGCCAAGACACCCAGCCAGCCAAGCCAGCCAAGCCAATCAGCCAGCCAGGCAGCCAGCCACCCAAGCCAACCAAGCCAGCCAAGCCAGCCAAGCCAGCCAGCCACCCAGCCAGCCAAGCCTCCCAGACAGCCAAGCCAGCGAAGCCTCCCAGCCAGCCAAGCCAGCCAAGCCACCCAGCCGGCCAAGCCAGCCAAGCCTCCCAGCCAGCCAAGCCAGCCAATCCTCCCAGCCAGCCAAGCCAGCCAAGCCACCTAGCCAGCCAGGCCCGCCAGCCAGCCAGCCAGCTAGCCAAGCCAGCCAAGCCAGCCAGGCAGCCAAGCCAGCCAAGCCAGTCAAGCCCGCCAGCCAGCCAAGACAGGCATGCCAGCCAAGCCAGCCAGGCAGCCAAGCCAGCCAAACCAGGCAGCAAGCAAAGCCAGGCAGGCCAGCCAAGCCAGCCAGGCAGCCAAGCCAGCAAAACCAGCCAGCCAGCCAAGCCAGGCATGCCAGCCAAGCCATCCAGCCGGCTAAGCCAGCTGGCCAGCCAAGCCAGACAAGCCACCCGGCCATCCAAGCCAGCCAGCCAAGCCAGCCAAGCCAGCCAAGTCAGTCAACCAGCCAGCCAGCCAAGCCAGCCAAGCCTCCCAGCCAGCAAAACCAGCCAAGCCACACAGCCAGCCAAGCCAGCCAAGCCACCTAGCCAGCCAGGCCCGCCAGCCAGCCAGCCAGCTAGCCAAGCCAGCCAAGCCAGCCAGGCAGCCAAGCCAGCCAAGCCAGTCAAGCCCGCCCGCCAGCCAAGACAGGCATGCCAGCCAAGCCAGCCAGGCAGCCAAGCCAGCCAAGCCAGGCAGCAAGCAAAGCCAGGCAGGCCAGCCAAGCCAGCTAGGCAGCCAAGCCAGCAAAACCAGCCAGCCAGCCAAGCCAGGCATGCCAGCCAAGCCATCCAGCCGGCTAAGCCAGCTGGCCAGCCAAGCCAGACAAGCCACCCGGCCATCCAAGCCAGCCAGCCAAGCCAGCCAAGCCAGCCAAGCCAGCCAAGTCAGTCAGCCAGCCAGCCAGCCAAGACAGCCAAGCCTCCCAGCCAGCAAAACCAGCCAAGCCACCCAGCCAGCCAAGCCAGCCAAGCCACCTAGCCAGCCAGGCCCGCCAGCCAGCCAGCCAGCGAGCCAAGCCAGCCAAGCCAGCCAGCCTGCCAAGCCAGCCGGCCAGCCAAGCTAGGCAATCCACTCAGCCACTCAAGCCAGCCAAGTCACCCGACCATCCAAGCCAGCCAAGCCAGCCAGCCACCCAGCCAGCCAAGCCTCCCAGACAGCCAAGCCAGCCAAGCCTCCCAGCCAGCCAAGCCAGCCAAGCCACCCAGCCAGCCAAGCCAGCCAAGCCACCTAGCCAGCCAGGCCCGCCAGCCAGCCAGCCAGCTAGCCAAGCCAGCCAAGCCAGCCAGGCAGCCAAGCCAGCCAAGCCAGTCAAGCCCGCCAGCCAGCCAAGACAGGCATGCCAGCCAAGCCAGCCAGGCAGCCAAGCCAGCCAAGCCAGGCAGCAAGCAAAGCCAGGCAGGCCAGCTAAGCCAGCCCGGCAGCCAAGCCAGCAAAACCAGCCAGCCAGCCAAGCCAGGCATGCCAGCCAAGCCATCCAGCCGGCTAAGCCAGCTGGCCAGCCTAGCCAGACAAGCCACCCGGCCATCCAAGCCAGCCAGCCAAGCCAGCCAAGCCAGCCAAGTCAGTCAGCCAGCCAGCCAGCCAAGCCAGCCAAGCCTCACAGCCAGCAAAACCAGCCAAGCCACCCAGCCAGCCAAGCCAGCCAAGCCACCTAGCCAGCCAGGCCCGCCAGCCAGCCAGCCAGCCAGCCAGCGAGCCAAGCCAGCCAAGCCAGCCAGCCTGCCAAGCCAGCCGGCCAGCCAAGCTAGGCAATCCACTCAGCCACTCAAGCCAGCCAAGTCACCCGACCATCCAAGCCAGCCAAGCCAGTCAGCCAGCCCAGACAGCCAAGCCAGCCAAGGCAGCCAAGCCAGCCAAGCCCGCCAACCAGCCAAGACAGGCATGCTAGCCAAGCCAGCCAGGCAGCCAAGCCAGCCAAGCCAGCCAGCCAGCCAAGCCAGACATGCCAGCCAAGCCATCCAGCCAACTAAGCCAGCCGGCTAGCCAAGCCAGCCAAGCCAGCCAACCAGCCAAGCCAGCCAGCTAGCCAAGCTACCCAGCCAGCCAGCTAGCCAAACCAGCCAAGCCACCCAGCCAGCCAAGCCACCCAGCCAGCCAAGCCAGCCAAGCCAATCAGCCAGCCAGGCAGCCAGCCACCCAAGCCAGCCAAGCCAGCCAAGCCAGCCAAGCCAGCCAGCCACCCAGCCAGCCAAGCCTCCCAGACAGCCAAGCCAGCCAAGCCTCCCTGCCAGCCAAGCCAGCCAAGCCACCCAGCCAGCCAAGCCAGCCAAGCCACCTAGCCAGCCAGGCCCGCCAGTCAGCCAGCCAGCCAGGTAGCCAAGCCAGCCAAGCCAGCCAGGCAGCCAAGCCAGCCAAGCCAGTCAAGCCCGCCAGCCAGCCAAGACAGGCATGCCAGCCAAGCCAGCCAGGCAGCCAAGCCAGCCAAGCCAGGCAGCAAGCAAAGCCAGGCAGGCCAGCCAAGCCAGCCAGGCAGCCAAGCCAGCAAAACCAGCCAGCCAGCCAAGCCAGGCATGCCAGCCAAGCCATCCAGCCGGCTAAGCCAGCTGGCCAGCCAAACCAGACAAGCCACCCGGCCATCCAAGCCAGCCAGCCAAGCCAGCCAAGCCAGCCAAGTCAGTCAGCCAGCCAGCCAGCCAAGCCAGCCAAGCCTCACAGCCAGCAAAACCAGCCAAGCCACCCAGCCAGCCAAGCCAGCCAAGCCACCTAGCCAGCCAGGCCCGCCAGCCAGCCAGCCAGCCAGCCAGCGAGCCAAGCCAGCCAAGCCAGCCAGCCTGCCAAGCCAGCCGGCCAGCCAAGCTAGGCAATCCACTCAGCCACTCAAGCCAGCCAAGTCACCCGACCATCCAAGCCAGCCAAGCCAATCAGCCAGCCCAGACAGCCAAGCCAGCCAAGCCAGCCAAGCCAGCCAAGCCCGCCAACCAGCCAAGACAGGCATGCTAGCCAAGCCAGCCAGGCAGCCAAGCCAGCCAAGCCAGCCAGCAAGCAAAGCCAGGCATGTCAGCCAAGCCAGCCAGGCAGCCAAGCCAGCCAAGCCAGCCAGCCAGCCAAGCCAGGCATGCCAGCCAAGCCATCCAGCCAACTAAGCCAGCCGGCTAGCCAAGCCAGCCAAGCCAGCCAACCAGCCAAGCCAGCCAGCTAGCCAAGCTACCCAGCCAGCCAGCTAGCCAAGCCAGCCAAGCCACCCAGCCAGCCAAGCCACCCAGCCAGCCAAGCCAGACAAGCCAATCAGCCAGCCAGGCAGCCAGCCACCCAAGCCAGCCAAGCCAGCCAAACCAGCCAAGCCAGCCAGCCACCCAGCCAGCCAAGCCAGCCAAGCCACCCAGCCAGCCAAGCCAGCCAAGCCTCCCAGCCAGCCAAGCCAGCCAAGCCACCTAGCCAGCCAGGCCCGCCAGCCAGCCAGCCAGCTAGCCAAGCCAGCCAAGCCAGCCAGGCAGCCAAGCCAGCCAAGCCAGTCAAGCCCGCCCGGCAGCCAAGACAGGCATGCCAGCCAAGCCAGCCAGGCAGCCAAGCCAGCCAAGCCAGGCAGCAAGCAAAGCCAGGCAGGCCAGCCAAGCCAGCTAGGCAGCCAAGCCAGCAAAACCAGCCAGCCAGCCAAGCCAGGCATGCCAGCCAAGCCATCCAGCCGGCTAAGCCAGCTGGCCAGCCAAGCCAGACAAGCCACCCGGCCATCCAAGCCAGCCAGCCAAGCCAGCCAAGCCAGCCAAGCCAGCCAAGTCAGTCAGCCAGCCAGCCAGCCAAGACAGCCAAGCCTCCCAGCCAGCAAAACCAGCCAAGCCACCCAGCCAGCCAAGCCAGCCAAGCCACCTAGCCAGCCAGGCCCGCCAGCCAGCCAGCCAGCGAGCCAAGCCAGCCAAGCCAGCCAGCCTGCCAAGCCAGCCGGCCAGCCAAGCTAGGCAATCCACTCAGCCACTCAAGCCAGCCAAGCCTCCCAGCCAGCAAAACCAGCCAAGCCACCCAGCCAGCCAAGCCAGCCAAGCCACCTAGCCAGCCAGGCCCGCCAGCCAGCCAGCCAGCCAGCCAGCGAGCCAAGCCAGCCAAGCCAGCCAGCCTGCCAAGCCAGCCGGCCAGCCAAGCTAGGCAATCCACTCAGCCACTCAAGCCAGCCAAGTCACCCGACCATCCAAGCCAGCCAAGCCAATCAGCCAGCCCAGACAGCCAAGCCAGCCAAGCCAGCCAAGCCAGCCAAGCCCGCCAACCAGCCAAGACAGGCATGCTAGCCAAGCCAGCCAGGCAGCCAAGCCAGCCAGGTAGCCAAGCCAGCCAAGCCAGCCAGCAAGCAAAGCCAGGCATGTCAGCCAAGCCAGCCAGGCAGCCAAGCCAGCCAAGCCAGCCAGCCAGCCAAGCCAGGCATGCCAGCCAAGCCATCCAGCCAACTAAGCCAGCCGGCTAGCCAAGCCAGCCAAGCCAGCCAACCAGCCAAGCCAGCCAGCTAGCCAAGCTACCCAGCCAGCCAGCTAGCCAAACCAGCCAAGCCACCCAGCCAGCCAAGCCACCCAGCCAGCCAAGCCAGCCAAGCCAATCAGCCAGCCAGGCAGCCAGCCACCCAAGCCAGCCAAGCCAGCCAAGCCAGCCAAGCCAGCCAGCCACCCAGCCAGCCAAGCCTCCCAGCCAGCCAAGCCAGCCAAGCCTCCCAGCCAGCCAAGCCAGCCACGCCACCCAGCCAGCCAAGCCAGCCAAGCCAATCAGCCAGCCAGGCAGCCAGCCACCCAGCCAGCCAAGCAGGCCAAGCCACCTAGCCAGCCAGGCCCGCCAGCCAGCCAGCCAGGCAGCTAAGCCAGCCAAGCCAGTCAAGCCCGACAGCCAGCCAAGACAGGCATGCCAGCCAAACCAGCCAGGCAGCCAAGCCAGCCAAGCCAGCCAGCCAGCCAAGCCAGGCATGCCAGCCAAGCCATCCAGCCAGCTAAGCCAGCCGGCTAGCCAAGCCAGCCAAGCCACCCGGCCGGCCAAGCCAGCCAAGCCGGCCAAACCAGCCAACCAGCCAAGCCAGCCAGCCAGCCAAGCCAGCCAAGCAGCCAGCCAGCCAGCCAAGCCAGCCAAGCCAGGCAAGCCACCCAGCCAGCCAAGCCATCTAGCCATCAAGCCAGTCAGGCCAGCCAGCCAGCCTGCCAAGCCGGCCACCCACCAAGCCAGCCAACCATCCACGCCAGCCAAGCCAGTTAGCCAGCCAGCCAAGCCACCCAGCCAGCCAAGCCAGCCAAGCCACACAGCCAGCCAAGCCACCCAGCCAGCCAAGACAGCCAAGCCACACAGCCAGCCAAGCCTTCCAGCCAGCCAAGACAGCCAAGCCAGCCAAGCCAGCCAGCCAGCCACGCAAGCCAAGCCAGCCAGCCAGCCAAGCAATCCGTGCCAGCCAAGCCATCCAGCCAGCCAAGCGAGGCGTCCGGCCAAGCCACCCCACCAGCCAAGCCAGCCAGCCAGCCAGCCAGCCAGCCAAGCCACCCAGCCAACTAAGCCAGCCAAGCCACCCAGCCAGGCATACCAGCCAAGCCACCCAGCCAGCCAAGCCTGTCAGCCAGCGAACCAGCCAAGCCAGCCATGCCAGCCAGCCAGCCAAGCCATACAAGCCAGCCAGCCAGCCATGCCAGGACGAGACTCCATCTCAAAAAAAATAAAAAAACGACAGCCTGGCCAACATGGTGAAACCCTGTCTCTACTGAATGTATAAAAAATTATCTAGGCGTGGTGGCACATTCCCGTAATCCCAGCTACTCGGGAGGCCCAGGCAGGAGGATCGCTTTAACCAGGGAGGTGGAGGTTGAAGCGAACCAAGATTGCACCACCTCATTCCAGCCTGGGCAACAGGGTGAGACTCAATCTCAGAAAAAAAAAAGAAAAAAAAAAAAGGCCAGCCTGGCCAACATGGTGAAACCCCATCTCTACTAAATATAAAAAGAAATTAGCTGGGCGTGGTGGCACATGAATGTAATCCCAGCTACTCGGGAGGCCCAGGCAGGAGGATCGCTTGAACCCTGGGGGTGGAGCCTACAGCGAGCCAAGATTGCACCACTGCACTCCAGCCTGGGCAACAGGGCGAGACTCCATCTCAGAAAAAATAAAATAAAATACACCAGCCTGGCCAACACGGTGAAACCCCATCTCTACAAAATATACAAAAAAATTAGCTGGGCGTGCTGGCACACGTCTGTAATCCCAGCTACTCGGGAGGCCCAGGAAGGAGGATCGCTTGAATCAGGGAGGTGAAGGCTGCAGCGAGCCAAGATTGCACCACTGCACTCCAGCCTGGGCAACAGAGTGAGACTCCATCTGAAAAAACAGAAGCATTCCAGCCTGGCCAATAGAGCGAGACTCCATCTCAAAAAAAAAAAAAAAAAAAAAAAAACACCAGCCTGGCCAACATGGTGAAACCCCGTCTCTTCTAAATATACAAAAAAAATAGGGCCGGGCGTGGTGGCTCATGCCTGTAATCCCAGCACCTTGGGAGGCCGAGGTGGGTGGATCACGAGGTCACGAGATCGAGACCAGCCTGACCAACATGGTGAAACCCCGTCTCTACTAAAAACAGAAAAATTAGCTGGGTGTGGTGGCACATGCCTGTAATCCCTGCTACTCGGGAGGCTGAGGCAGGAGAATTGCTTGAACCTGGGAAGCGGAGGTTGCAGTGAGCCGAGATGGCGCCACTGTACTCCACGGTGGTGTCAGAGCGATACTACATCTCAAAAAAAAAAAAAAAATTAGCTGGGTTTGGTGGCACACACCTGTAATACCAGGTACTCGGGAGGCCCAGGCAGGATGATCACTTGAACCCGGGAGGGGGTGGTTGCCGTGAACCAAGATTGTACCACTGCGCTCCAGCCTGGGCAACAGGGCGAGACTCCATTTCAGGAAAAAAAAAAAAAAAGACCAGCCTGGCCAACATGGTGAAACCCCGTCTCTAGTAAATATACAAAGAAATTAGCTGGGCGTGGTGGCACATGAATGTAATCCCAGCTACCCGGGAGGCCCAGGCAGGAGGATCGCTTGAACCTGGGAGGTGGAGGCTGCAGCGAGCCAAGATTGCACCACTGCACTCCAACCTGGGCAAAAAAGTGAGACTCCATCCGAAAAAAAATAAGCACTCCAGCCTGGGCAATAGAGCGAGACTCCAACTCAAAGAAAAAAAAAAAAAAAAAAAAAAACCAGGTTGACCAACATGGTGAAATCCCGTCTCTACTAAATATACAAAAAAAATTTGCTGGACGTGGTGGCACAGGTCTCTAATCCCAGCTACTGGGGAGGCCCAGGCAGGAGGATCACTTGAACCTGGGAGGTGGAGGCTGCAGCGAGCCAAGATTGCACCACTGCACTCTGGCCTGGGCAACAGAGTGAGAGTCCATCTGAAAAAAAAGAAGCACTCCAGTCTGGTCAACAGAGCGAGACTCCATCTCAGAAAAAAAAAAAAAAAAAAAAAAAAAAGACCAGGTTGGCCGACATGGTGAAACCCCGTCTCTACTAAATACACAAAAAAATTAGCTGGGCGTGGTGGCACACGCCTGTAATCCCAGCTACTCGAGAGGCCCAGGCAGGAGGATCGCTTGAACCCAGGAGGTGGAGGTTGCAGCCAACCAAGATTGCACCACTGCACTCCAGCCTGGGCAATATAGCAAGACTCCATCTCAAAAAAAAGAAAAAAAAAAAAAAAGACCAGCCTGTCCAACACGGTGAAACCCCGTCAGTACTAAATATACAAAGAAATTAGCTGAGCGTGGTGGCACACGATTGTAATCCCAGCTACTCGGGAGGCCCAGGCAGGAGGATCGCTTGAACCCGGGAGGTAGAGGCTGCAGCCAGCCAAGATTGCACCACTGCACTGAACCCTGGACAACCGAGTGACACTCCATCTGAAAAAAAAGAAGAACTCCAACCAGGGCAATGGAGCGAGACTCCATCTCAGAAAAAAGAAAAATAAAAGAGCACCTTGGCCAACATGGAGAAACCCCGTCAGTACTAAATACACAAAGAAATTAGCTGAGCATGGTAGCACACGAATGTAATCCCAGCTACTCGGGAGGCCCAGGCAGGAGGATCGCTTGAACCCGGGAGGTGGAGGTTGCAGCGAACAAAGATTGCACCACTGCACTCCAGCCTGGGCAACAGAGCGAGACTCCCACTCAGAAAAAAAAAAAGAATATGAAAAAAAACACCAGCCTGGCCAACATGGTGAAACAACGTCTCCACTAAATATACAAAAAAAATAGATGGGCGTGGTGGCACTCATCTCTAATCCCAGCTACTCGGAAGGCCAACGCAGGAGGATCACTTGAACACAGGAGGTGGAGGCTGCAGCTAGCCAAGTCTGCACCATTGCACTCCAGCCTGGCAAACCAAGCCAGCCAAGCCAGCCAGCCAAGCCAGTCAAGCGACCCAGCCAGCCAGCCAGCCAGCTAAGCCACCCAACCAGCCAGCATGCCAAGCCAGCCAAGCCAGCCAGCCAGCCAGCCAACCAAGCCAGCCAAGCCAGCCAAGCCAGCTAGCCAGCCAAGTCAGCCAAGCTACCTAGCCGGCCAAGTCAGCCAAGCCAGCTAGCCAGCTAGCCAGCCAAGTCAGCCAAGCCAGCTAGCCAGCCAAGCCAGCCAAGCCAGCCAAGCCAGCCAGCCACCCAGCCAGCAAAGCCACTCAGCCAGCCAGGCAGCCAAGCCAGCCAAGACAGCCAGCCAGCCAGCCAGCCAAGCCAGCCAAGCCAGCCAGCCAGCCAAGCCAGTGAAGCCACAAAGACAGCCAAGCCAGCCAAGCCAGACAAGCCAGCCAAGCCAGCCAAGCCAGCCAGCCAACCAGCCAGCCAAGCCAGCCAAGCCTCCCAGCCAGCCAAGCCAGCCAAGCCAGTCAAGCCCGCCAGCCAGCCAAGACAGGCATGCCAGCCAAGCCAGCCAGGCAGCCAAACCAGCCAAGCCAGCCAGGCCCGCCAGCCAGCCAAGACAGGCATGCCAGCCAAGCCAGCCAGGCAGCCATGTCAGCCAAGCCAGCCAGCAAGCAAAGCCAGGCATGCCAGCCAAGCCAGCCAGGCAGCCAAGCCAGCAAAACTAGCCAGCCAACCAAGCCAGGCGTGCCAGCCAAGCCATCCAGCTAGCTAAGCCAGCCGGCTAGCCAAGCCAGACAAGCCACCCGGCCATCCAACCAGCCAGCCAAGCCAGCCAAGCCAGCCAACCAGCAAAGCCAGTCAGCTAGCCAAGCCAGCCAACCAGCCAGCCAGCTAAGCCGGCCAGCCTGCCAGCCAACCAAGCCGGCCAGACAGCCAAGGCAGCCAAGCCGGCCAGGCAGCCAAGCCAGCCAAGCCACCGACCCAGCCAAGCCAGCCAAGCCACCCAGCCAGCCCAGACAGCCAAGCCAGGCAGCCAGCCAAGCCAGCCAGCCAGCAAAGCCAGGCAGCCAGCCAAGCCAGTCAAGCCGGACAGCCAGCCAAGCCAGCCAGCCAGCCAAACGAGCCAAGCCAGCCAGCCAGCCAAACCAGCCAAGCCAGCCAGCCAGCCAGCCAGCCAGCCACGCCAGCCAGCCACCCAGCCAGCCAGCCAGCCAAGCCAGCCAGCCACCCAGCCAGCCAGGCCAGCCAGCCACCCAGCCAGCCAGCCAGCCAAGCCAGCCAGCCACCCAGCCAGCCAGGCCAGCCTGCCACACAGCCAGCCAAGCCAGAGAAGCCTGCAAAGCCAGTCAGCCACCCAGCCAGCCACCCAGTCAGCCAAGCCATCCAAGCCAGCCAGCCAGCACAGACAGCCAAGCCATCCACCCAGTCAGCCAAGCCATCCAAGAGAGCCAGCCAGCCCAGACAGCCAAGCCAGCCAGCCAGCCAGCCAGCCAGCCA
This sequence comes from Homo sapiens, assembly GCF_000001405.40. NCBI lineage: Eukaryota > Metazoa > Chordata > Mammalia > Primates > Hominidae > Homo > Homo sapiens. The sequence continues at coordinate 91,499,626 of NC_000002.12, read as the reverse complement.
GCCACGCCAGCCAGCCACCCAGCCAGCCAGCCAGCCAAGCCAGCCAGCCACCCAGCCAGCAAGGCCAGCCAGCCACCCAGCCAGCCAAGCCAGCCACCCAGCCAGCCAAGCCAGCCAGCCACCCAGCCAGCCAGGCCAGCCTGCCACCCAGCCAGCCAAGCCAGACAAGCCTGCGAAGCCAGTCAGCCACCCAGCCAGCCAGGCCAGCCAGCCACCCAGTCAGCCAAGCCATCCAAGCCAGCCAGCCAGCACAGACAGCCAAGCCAGCCACCCAGTCAGCCAAGCCATCCAAGAGAGCCAGCCAGCCCAGACAGCCAAGCCAGCCAGCCAGCCAGCCAAGCCAGCCAAGCAAGCCAGCAAGCCAGCCAGCCAAGCCAGCCAGCCAAACCAGCCAAGCCACCCAGCCAGCCAAGCCACCCAAGACACCCAGCCAGCCAGCCAGCCAAGCCAGCCAAGCCACCCAGCCAGGCAAGCCGGCCAAGCAAGCCAGCCAAGCCAGCCAAGCCAGCCAAGCCTGCAAAGCCAGCCAGCCAGCAAAGCCAGCCAAGTCAGCCTGCCAAGCCAGCCAAGACAGCCAGCAAGCCAAGCCAGCCAAGCCAGCTAGCCAAGCCAGCTAGCCAAGCCAGCCAAGCCAGCCAGCCAAGCCAGCCAAGCCCGCCTAGCCAGCCAAGCCAGCCAAGGCAGCCAAGCCAGTCAGCCAGCCAAGCTAGCCAAGCCAGGCAGCCATCCAAGCCAGCCAGCCATCCAAGCCAATGAAGCCAGCCAGCCAGCCAAGCCACCCAAGCCAGCCAAGCCAGCCAACTCAGCCAGCCAGCCAAGCCAGCCAAGCCAGCCAGCCAGTCAAGCCAGCCAAGCCAGCCAGCCAACCAAGCCAACTAAACCAGCCAGCCTGCCAAGCCAGCCAAGCCAGCCAGCCAGCCAGGCCAGCCAGCCAGCCCAGCCAGCCAAGCCAGCCAGCCACCCAGCCACCCAAGACAGCTAAACCAGCCAGCCTGCCAAGCCAGCCAAGCCAGCCAGCCAGCCAGGCCAGCCAAGCCAGCCAAGCCATTCAAGCCAGCCAGCCAGCCCAGCCAGCCAAGCCAGCCAGCCAGCCCAGCCAGCCCAGCCAGCCCAGCCAGCCAGCCAACCCAGCCACCGCAGCCAGCCCAGCCAGCCACACAAGCCAGCCAAGTCAGCCAGCCAGCCAAGCCAGCTGGAAAGAGAGAGAGAGAAAAGGGAAGGAAGGAAGGAAGGAAGGAAGGAAAGAAGGAGGAAGGAAGGAAGGAAGGGGAGAGAGAAAGAGAGAGATTGGGAGAGAGAGAGAAGGAGAGAGAGAGAAAGAAAGGAAAGAAAGGAAGGAAGGAAGGAAAGAAAGAAAGAGAGAAAGAAAGAAAGAAGGAGAGAGAGAAAGAAAGAAGGAAGTAAGGAAGGAAGGAGAGAAAGCAAGGAAGAAAGAAGGAAGGAAGGAGAGAGAGAAAGAAAGAAGAAAGAAAGAGAAAAAAGAAGGAAGGAAGGAGAGAGAGAAAGAAAGGAAGACAGAAGGAAGGAGAGACAGGGAAAGAAAGGAAGAAAGAAGAAAGAAAGATAAAGAAAGAAAGAGGAGCAAATGTACACTGCTCAGGAATCTCCTTTTCCTGTGGCCGGGGCAAGATTCTTTGCATTTTTCTCTGTAAGGAAAAAACAAAACCACACACACACACTACACACACACACAGCAATAAGCTTTCATCCAGCCGGCACAAGACAGTTTCCTAGAGAATCTGTACACAGTCATGATGTTGGAGTCTCAATTTCAGATTGGGTTAAAGTGCCCTGCAAACCAGCATTTGCAGAGGCCATGGGAGAGGTTACTGGGGAATTAAGAGCTGCAGAGATGAGGGTCTCCGGCCGTCACCTTTGCAGCTGCAGGAGAGAGGAGGTGATTAGGGAATCTCCGTGTTCCCTTCTGAGCCTGGCAGGTGTGTTGTCCCCACCCTGTCTCCAGCACCGCACAGTTCATTGCAATGCAGGCCCTGCTTTCGGGTTTAGCAAAGGTAACTCCCCCTGGCACCCCCAGGCTTCTGCTTCCAGCACAGCGACTGCGACGTGGTGTTTGCTCCTCGGTCCTCATACAGAATTTGCCCACCTCAACTCAATCTTCCTCTCCCGGCGGTACCATTAATATTTTAATTTAATCAGAATTTCTGGGACTGGCTTGCCATCCTGAACAACCTAGTTACCTGTCAGCCTCTATCAGCTTGTCATATTAGAGAGGATTGTCCTGGGAATCTAATCTGCTTTAAATGATTTCATGGGGTGTTGGTCTATAAATCATCTCGACGCAGGCCTGACAACGTGAAGGCTTCAGTGGGTAAACAAACCACACTTGTTTTATTTTCAGCAGGCACAGACTTTGCTTTATCAACTTCTTATTAATTTTCGTGCTCCAAGAGGTCAAAAAAATGTTTTTGCTTCTCCTTTACATACAAAAACATTATTCGTAGAAGAGCTGTGGGCAGGCAACTCTCATTAACATAAGTTCTGAGATTTGCAGGTGAGCTGGCTGGTTGGAGAAACGACACACACCTGTTTCAGCCAAGCCCCTGGTGGAGTTTGGAGTTTCCAAAATGTTGACTTTTCCTCTTTCTGGTCAAAATAGAAATTATATGGATATTAAGGAGCCCCAAGTGTCTTCAGGGATGTTGAGGAACCCTGGACATACAAATACACACACACACACACACACACACACACACACACACACACGTACACACACTCACCACCCCATGCCAAGAAGATACACAAAAAACTCACTCACCTTTCACTTGAGTTTGCAAATTTGGAGCTGACTTAATGAAGGAAAGAAAAATTGCAGCTACAAAGTAACACAGAGCCAATGAAAAGACAAAAACCACCACTAGATTTTCTTCTTTTCTAAAGTTTTATTTTATTTTTAAGAGTCAACGTTCGGATCAGGCGCAGTGGCTCACGCTTGTAATCCCAGCGCTTTGGGAGGCTGAGGTGGGAGAATCACAAGGCCAGAAGTTCAAGACCAGTCTGGGCAACATAGCAAGATCCCATCTCTTAAAAAAAAAGTACAAAAGTTAGCTGGACCTACTGGTGCAGACCTGTATTTCCAGCTACTGGGGAGGCTGAGGTGGAAGGATGGTTTGAGTCCAGGAGGTTAAGGCTGCACTGAGCCATGATTGCATCACTGCACACTCCAGCTTAGGCAACAGAGCAAGACCTTGTCTCAAGAAAAAAACTCCATAATGATTGTACACATTTATGACATATAATATACTGTTTCCAAGCACGTGTATATCATGTAATGACACCTCATGGTAATTATCAGATCCAGCTGCTCAGAAATCTCATTTTCCGGTGGCTGGGGAATACGCATTTTTTTTTTTTTTTGAGACAGAGTTTCGCTCTTGTCACCCAGGCTGGAGTGCAATGGAATGATCTTGGCTCACTGCAAACTCCGCCTCCCGGGTTCAAGCGATTCTCCTGCCTCAGCCTCCCCAGTAGCTGGGATTACAGGCATGTGCCACCACACCTGGTTCATTTTGTATTTTCAGTAGAGACTGGGTTTCATCGTGCTGGCCAGGCTGGTCTCGAACTCCTGACCTCAAGTGATCCACCCACCTCAGCCTCCCAAAGTGCTGGGATTACAGGCGTGAGCCACCGAGCCTGGCCAACCCTCTCCTCTTTCAGGGGCTTAAATAAAATTTGCTTTTCTCCCCAAAGGCGGGTCCCCACCCCATTCAGCCCAGTTTCAAAGGGTGGAGTGTAAACGGTGGGTTGCCCAATTCCTGCTGCCGTGAAGTACTTCAGCTTACAGCGGAAAGCCGGGCGCAGACACCATGCTTTATTTCTATTTCCACGAACAAGAAGCGTCTCTTGCAGTCTGCAATATTTGTCGTCAAAAATTTCACTGGCTGTTGTATCAAATCAGCCACCTCTATAGGGTGTGATCATTGACAATTTTTTGTTACATCCCGATGGCCGTTTTACCTGGACCGTTTTCTTCCTTTCATGGGTGAAGCAAAACTCCTTGGTAGACTTTTTTTTTTTTTTTTGAGACAGAGTCTCGCTCTGTCGCTCTGTTGCCCAGGCTGGAGTGCAGTGGTGCGATCTCGACTCACTGCAACCTCCACCTCCCGGGTTCACACCATTCTCCTGCCTCAGCCTCCCCAGTAGCTCGGACTACAGGCACCCACCACCATGTCCACCTAATTTTTTGTATTTTTAGTAGAGACAGGATTTCACCGTTTTAGCCAGGATGGTCTCGTATCCTGACCTCGTGATCCGCCCGCCTCGGCCTCCCAAAGTTCTGGGATTACACGTGTGAGCCACCGCACCAGGCCAATGTGATGATTATCTATGGATATACCCTGATCATCAGCAGGAGGAAATGAAGAGGTATTGGTTAAAAATACAAAGTTGCAGTTACGCAGGATGAATAAGTACTAATTTGTAACAATTCAGTATGAAACAGTGTGACCGTGGTTAACAAGGCTCTGCTCTATGCCTGACATCTGAGAACAGAGGAATTGAAGTCTGAACTTTGTCCAGAAGAGGATGGCTTTGCAGGCTTTGCTGAGCATGCTGAATTCACGGTTTCCGGGTCAGCCCCTGGGCTGCCCAGGGACAGGGTGGAAACCCTGCCCCAGAAAGTCCAGGAGCCAGGAACCTGCTTAGAGACACATTTCAACAAGGAAAACCACACTCAGGCCGGCCTCCTTAAAAACACATAGGCCCGGCGTGGTGGCTCAAGCCTGTAATTCCAGCACTTTGGGAGGCTGAGGCAGGTGGATTGCCTGAGTTCAGGAGTTCGAGGCTGCGGTGAGCTATGATTGCACTCCAGCCTCGGCAACAGAGTGAGACCCTGTCTCAAAGAAATAAACAAATAAATGAATAAGCAAGCAAGCAATTTTTAAGTTGAACATCAGTTCTCTACTTGACTCTAGAGTTAAATAGGCATCCAGTTGCTTTTTGTGTTTATTTTTATATTCACTGCTTTTGCCTGCAACTGTGTTTCTGGTTCTAAGTAAATATAACGTATGCTACTGGTACACATACGTCTTAGGCAACATATGTTTCATTCACTGGATTGTTAGCTCTGTTTTGTTTTGTCACTACTTTAGTCCCAGTACCAATAACTGTGCCAGGCACAAAGTAGGTGTTTAGCTAATATTGTTAAATGAAGAAATACAAATATTTGATTTTATCACTTGAATCCTCATTTATTAGTACTGCACTATCTTTTCTTAGCTGTTTTTGTGAACATATGTGTGCTGCTTTTTTACCCTAACTAGATTGGAAGTACATTGTGGGTAGAAACTTGGTTTTATTTGTTTTTCCTATATTCTCCTTTACAGCAGTTTAGACCTGATGGGAAGTAGGTATTTCCCAAACACGTGATTGAACTGAAATACATTGGTAGATTTCATTTTATCAGGAGACTGCCAAAAGTATAGTCATAAATAAGGAATTTGGAAGAGAATCAAAAAGCTAGTATGTACTCATCTGTCAGCTTGAAGGCCTGTATAAGACTCCATACTTCTGTGGAGTAAAAAGGGTAGGGTTCTGGGGCTGGACACGGTAGCTCACACCTGTAATCCCAACACTTTGGGGAAAAAAAGAGGGTTCTGGGACTATTCTTTGCTTCTTCTTCTTTTTTTTTTTTTTTGAGACAGTTTTGCTCTGTCATTCAGGCTGGAGTGCAGTGGCATGATTTCGACTCACCACAACCTCTACCTCAGGTTCAAGCAGTTCTCCTGCCTGAGCCTCCTGAGTAGCTGGGATTACAGGTGCTTGCGACCACACCTGGCTAATTTTTTTATATTTTTAGTAGAGATGGGGGTTTTACCATATTGGCCAGGCTGGTTAAGAACTCCTGACCTCAAGTGATGCGCCCATCTCGGCCTCCCAAAGTGCTAGGATTACAGGCGTGAGCCACTGCGCCCGGCCTCTGGGACTGTTCTTTTCCTTGCTCCTTAACAGACTATTTCCTGCTTTTTGTTTTGTTTTGTTTTGCTTTGCTTTGTTTTTTGTTTTTGGCCTTCTAACTGTGTTACAAATGGTTTAAGTCAGTGGTTCTCCAAGGGTGGTCCCAGATCAGCAGCATTATCACCTGGGTACTTACTAGAAATGCAAATTCTTGGGCCCCACTCCAGACCTACTGAATGAGCAACTCTGAGGGTAGAACCTAAAAAATTGTGTTTTAACAAGTCATCTGGGTGATTCTGATGGTAAAGTTTGATGTCACCAAATGATAATGATGCTTTTTTTTTTAATTGAGATGGAGTCTTGCTCTGTCGCCCAGTCTGGAGTGCAGTGGCGTGATCTTGGTTTACTGCAACTTCCACCTCCCAGGTTCAAGCAATTCTCCTGTCTCAGCCTCCTGAGTAGCTGGGACTACAGGCACACGCCACCATGTCTGGCTAATTTTTGTATTTTTAGTAGAGATGGGGTTTCATCATACTGGTCAGGCTGGTCTCAAACTCCTGACCTCAGGTGATCCACCTGTCTCGGTCTCCCAAAGTGCTGGGATTACAGGCATGAACCACTGTGCCTAGCCTGATAAAGACACTGTCTTTAAGAGAGAGGGCTAGAGGCAGTGATTATGTGCCAGAGAAAACTAGCAGCCTAGATTTAAGAGGATAATATAATCCAAAGCTTTTCAGAGGGAATAGATACAGTTTATAGAAGGCATTAAGACATAAAGCAGATTATTGAAACTTCACTGTACACTGTAACCGTATAATTGACTTTTACTTATATATTTCCTCTTTTACTTTGAAGTTTGTGTTCAAATCAAAAGATGAGAACCTTAAATTAATCAAGTTTTATAATATTTTATTTTAGATTTTTGTAAAAGTGAATGCTTTTTATATTCCATAGCAAGTAACTGAAAAGCTACTGAAAAGTGTCCAACCCAAGAATTTTGTGTATTTTTCATTTTGAATATACTTCTCAGTGATTTCAATTTTGAATCCTAGCCCTTTTAAATTTCAGAATGCACAGTAGTTTAAAATGGCTTCAATAAGGCTGGGCGCGGTGGCTCGCACCTGTAATCCCAGGGCTCAGGGAGACCGAGGTGGGTGGATCACGAGGTCAGGAGTTTGAGAACAGCCTGACCAAGTGGTAAAACCCTGTCTCTACTAAAAATACAAAAATTAGCTGGGCATAGTGGTGCGCACCTGTAATCCCAGCTACTCAGGAGGCTGAGGTAGGAGAATTACTTCGACCCCGGGAGGCTGAAGTTGCAGTGAGCCGAAATCGCACCACTGTACTACAGCCTGGGCCACAGAGTGAGACTCCGTCTCAAAAGAAAAAAAAAAGGGTGGGGGGGCTTTAATAAATTAAGTGGTACATTTTAAATATTTTAATTGTTTATTAGATATTACGTATGCAGATAAACCTGTTTAAATATAGAAGATTTATATTCCTATTTACATATATCCTTTTGACAAATTAGAATTGAAAATAATATAAAAATAAATTTTCAGCTGGGCACGGTGGCTCACACCTGTAATCCCAGCATTTTGGGAGGCCGGGGCGGGCGGATCACGAGGTCAGGAGATTGAGACCACGGTAAAACCCCGTCTCTACTAAAAATACAAAAAATTAGCTGGGTGCAGTGGCGGGCGCCTGTAGTCCCAGCTACTCAGGAGGCTGAGGCAAGAGGATGGCATGAACCCGGGAAGCGGAGCTTGCAGTGAGCTGAGATGGTGCCACTGCACTCCAGCCTGGGCAACAGAGTGAGACTCCATCTCAAAAAAAATAAATATATAAAATAAAAAATTAAATAAAAAAATAAATTTTCTTTCTGTCATGCAGACTTAAATAGTAAAATATCTTCCTTCTATTATTTTTATCTTTTTTGTTTATGATGGTTAGGAAGTGAATATCTAATTTTCTATACTGTGAAAAATACACATAAAGTATCATGGAAGTTCAACATTCATTTTCCTTGAAAATAATTCCAAAGTTTTCTTCTCCAGAAATATATCCTGTTATCATTAAGTTTAGTTGTACTGATAAATGGCAGTTGATGATTTGTAAGTTTTTAAACATATTTATTCATAACACTTATTTTTTTTCTTTTTGAGACGGAGTCTCACTCTGTTGCCCAGGCTGGAGTGCAGTGGTGTGGTCTCGGCTCACTGCAACCTCCACCTCCTGGGTTCAAGCAGTTCTCTGCCTCAGCCTCTCAAGTAGCTGGGATTACAGGCACCTGCCACCACGCCCGGCTAATTTTTTTTTGTATTTTTAGTAGAGATGGGGTTTCACCATCTTGGCCAGGCTGGTCTTGAACTCTTGACCTCGTGATCCACCCGCCTCGGCCTCCCAAAGTGCTAGGATTACAGGGGTGAGCCACCACGCCCTGCCTTTTTTTTTTTTTTTTAAAGATGGAATCTCACCGTGTCGCCCAGGCTGGAGTGCAGTGGTGCGATCTCTGCACACTGCAACCTCCGTCTCCCGGGTTTGAGTAATTCTTCTGTCTCAGCCTTCCGAGTAGCTGCGAATACAGTGCCTGGCTGATTTTTGTATGTTTAGTGGAGACAGGGTTTCACTGTGTTGGCCAGGCTGGTCTCGAACTCCTGACCTCAGGTGATCCCCCCGCCTCAGCCTCCCAAAGTTCTGGGATTACAGGTGTGAGCCCCTGTGTCCGACCTATTTTCCTCTTTTTCTTTTTACTTTTTCCCTTCCCTTTATTTCTTCCTTTCACTGTTTTCATCTTTTATGTCTCTCACCCTCGCCCTTCCTCAGTTCAATTCAAAGAGCAATATACTGCCATATCTGGAGAATTTTTAGCTGGAATTTAATCTTTATTTTAAAAGAGTAAGAATTTATACCAATTATTATGTTTTCGACTGAGGTCGTTTTACAGAAGGAATTCTTTTTTTTATGTAGGAATGTGTTTTAAGACTTTTTGTTTCTAATGTCTTAGTTTTCTAGAGAAAAAAAGGTAAAAGATTGACATTATTCTCATAGTCTTTTACTCTTTTCTCAAAGGTCTTAGTTCAGGTCCTAATTTTCTTTCAATTATACTCATTTATTTAACCAGTCTCCTTTAGGTGGTCATTTGGGTTGTATACATATTCTTGTCTGTGTTTTATCAGTAATGTATTATATAATTTCATGTATGTACAAATATATATTTGAAGGATAACATTCTAAAATTGCTGAGTTAAAGGGTATATGCATTTATAAACTTGACAGATATTACCAGTTGTCCTCTATAAAGTGAAACTGGTTTATATCACCACAGCTAACATATAAATGTCTGTTTTCTACCATATTATTAAGTTACTGAACTTTATCCATCTGATGGAAAAGGAGAAATCTGATTGTACTTTATTTTTTATATTTTTAATATTTTTATGAGCCGTCTTGGCATGTTGGCCAGGATGGTCTCAAACTCCAGCCTCAAGCAATCCTCTCACCTCAGTCTCCCAAAGTTCTGGGACTACAGGCATTAGCTACCATGCCTGGCCCTGATTACCACCCCGCCACCCACCCCCCACCCCCTTTTTTTTTTTTTTTTTTTTTTTGAGACAAGGTCTCACTCTGTCACCCATGTTAGAGTGTGGTGGTGTGATCACTGCTCACTGCAGCCTTGGCCTCCTGGGCTGAGGTGATTCTCCTGTCTCAGCCTCCCAAGTAGCTGGGACCACAGACACATGCCACCATGTCTGGCTGATTTTTTAAATTATTTGTAGGGAAGTGGTCTCGCTATGTTGCACAGGCTAGGCTCAAACTCCTGAGCTCAAGTTATCCTCCCACCTCGGCCTCCCAAAGTGCTGTAATTACAGGACTGAGCCACTGTGCCCAGCCTCTGATTATACTTTTAATTGTAACTTCTCTTATGCTTGAAGTTGAACATATACAGTAAAGACTTTACGGTATTGTAGGCTGAAGTTTCAGAATCATCCAGGGCCAATGATGTTAGCAGAAATGCAAAACTAGCCAAGGAGTATCGAGAGGACAAAATTGATAATTGATATTGTTATTACCTTCAAAGTTTGATTGCATTGATTAGCTTATTATTTTTATTAAAATCATTTTAAAGAGCATATAAAGTTCTATGCCAAAGCATGTTTGGCCTGACAAGTTGGGCTGTCACTTCCTTTTGACAAGACTTTCATTTTTATCAGCTTTAAATGCATGTGTCATTACTATTCTGGTTAGGTAACATAATTATCCCACTGCAGAATATATAATTTCAAAAGAGTCTTGTGGATATTTGATGCCTTTTCCTCTGAAAACAATTGAATTGGGATTTTCAGACCACTTTTATTTCAGTAAGATAAATGTAATCCTTCCTTTAATTGTAATGTAAAATTTAAGAGCATATTGAAATGAAAAGAAAAGCTCAACACTACCTATATTTTGAAAGTTATAAGAGACTAGATAAGTTGGATTTTATGTTTCTTGTGGTACAGAATAGAAACAAAGGTCATTCAAACTAAGTTTGAATGAGAATTAAGTTTAATGGCTCACTTGCTAAACCTGAGTTGCACAATCCTCACAATTCCTTAGGGATGTGGCAAGGTCATCCTTAAATGTAAAGTTCTTGCTCACTTAATGGAAAGCACTGTAGATACATAAATAACATTGTTACCTGTCTTAGTGGGTCAGTATAAAAGACGGGGGTGGTGGTATATGTGAGAATAGTGAAATTTATAGCTAGTTTTGAGGCCCTTGTGACTTTTAAGAGGTATTATGAGTCACTTTAACAAGTTAGTGTTTGTGACATAGTTTCAATTTCTTATGTGAAAGATAGTATTTCAGTTGTAAATGTTCTCTTAATATTCTGGAGAGCTACTCTTTCCTAGCCCATCTGTTTTACTGACTTTAAAAGTTGTTTACAGTTTGTTTCATGTTCAAATGTAGGGTTTTAGTAATTCCTTGGGGTGGGGGGCAGGAATGGGCAGAAGGCCATTGTCTCTAATTTTCCTTTTCCCAACTTTCACTTTCTTTTTTCTATGGATTACATGTCAAGGTGGGTGAGAAAAATGGTGGGGATTGAGAAAAGGGAGCAATTTATTTTTTGTAGGGGAGGTCCAAAATAAAGTCACTTAAGGAATCTGTCATAAAATTTAAATATATGATGAAGCTTGTGCAAGGGGAATATAAGAACTGATTTTACTTTAACCCTTCCTGCTTTATAAAAAGATCTTGTTGATGGCAAAAAGACAAACGCTTTAGCAAACTGTACTGTACACCTTGCATTTGTTTGTATTAATATTAGTTGTTTTATTTTTTAATATGGAGTCTCACTCTGTTACCCAGGATGGAGTGCAGTGGCGCAATCTCGGCTCACTGCAACCCCTGCCTCCTGGGTTCAAGCAATTCTTCTGCCTCAGCCTCCCGAGTAGCTGGGATTATAGGTGCCATCATGCCCGGCTAATTTTTGTATTTTTAGTAGAGACAGGGTTTCACCATGTTGGTCAGGCTGGTCTCGAACTCTTGACCTCAAGTGATCCACCTGCCTCAGCCTCCCAAAGTGCTGGGATTACAGGTGTGAGCCACCGCACCCGGCAGTATTAGTTGTTTTATATTGTAGACTCTTAAATGATGTGGACTATGTGTTGTAAAATCCCTACCCTGAAGTACAATGCATTTAGATGTCCCCCCGCCCTTTTTAACTTAAATCCTTTTTCCCCCTTGCAGTCAGTGCATTTTTATATTTCTACATGCTTTGTGAGAAATGTGTAAAGGAAATATTTTTGCATCTAATTGTTCTAACTTCCAAAGGTTCTTTACTGAGTTAAAAAAAACTGGTTTTTTTTTGGTCTAAACTGAATTTTGTCTGTCTTTCCCCTACTCAGGCCCAGATTACCTTTCTACAGGGACCTGGGCTTTCTACAGGAAGACCTGGGCTTCCCAGACAGGCCTGAGGATCATCACACGGTGTTCAGCACATACCACCAGGGGCAGGTGCACCCTGGCTTCTGAAGTAGCACCTGAGAATCCCCTGTGTCTAGTACCTGCTTCATGAATAACATTCCATAGGCTTCGGAAAGACTGTGGTTTAGGCTCTAATTTATTCAACTTGAATAATTTCTCCTTGAAATACTGAGAATAGCTTCTCTTTTGCTGTACAAATTCCGATTATCCCATAACACAGACTCCTCAGTTGGACTTATCTCTCTTCTTTATTCAGTCAGGACAGGCATTGTCACATCTTTTCTGCTGGGGATGAGGGTGAAAGAGGCTTAGGGTTCAGAGGAACCTCCCTGGCCTCCTCTAGGAAAATCTCCCAATGACTTTCCAAACCTGACTGAGTTTGAGAACTTCCCTCAGCAGATAGAGGCACCAGAAGGAGCATTGGGGCAGCCCAGCCTCACACATCTGCTTCCTTGGGGATTATGTTATGACTTGTAACGCTGTGGGAGGGGTACTGTCACTCTGTTGACAGTAATAAGTTGCAAAATCTTCAGGCTGCAGGCTGCGGATGGTGAGAGTGTAATCTGCCCCAGATCCACTGTCACTGAACCGAGAGGGAATCCCACTTTGCAGACTGGGTGCAGCATAGATCAGGAGCTTAGGAGTTTTCCCTGGTTTCTGCTGATACCAATTTAAATTATTGCTAATGCCCTGACTCGCCCGGCAAGTGATGGTGACTCTGTCTCCTACAGATGCAGACAGGGAGGATGGAGACTGGGTCATCTGGATGTCACATCTGGCACCTGAAGTTGGAAACATAAAAACAAATATTGTTGCAATTAATCATGTTATCAGAGGACTTCCCTGAAGTTCCAGACAGTACTGAGCACACTGACCGAGTATAATCCTAGTGTTCTCCTTCCTTACCTGGCAGCCAGAGCACCAGGAGCCCCAGGAGCTGAGTGGGGGCCCTCATGTCTGTGCTGTGTCCTGACTGGGGCTGACTCCTGCTCCGGGTGTGACCAGCCTATAAAAAGTCTTCAGGGCAGGGGGCTGTGCTCTAGGAACAGGCAAATCAGCAGGGGATGGGGCAGGCTGAGCACAGCTGCAGGGCTGGCTCATCTCAGTAACTCAGCACAGGGGCGCAGTATCCCCAGAGTCCCAGGTCAAACCAGGGCAGCACAGATTTACCTTGAAAGAATGCATTTCTCATTGGTGGCCATATGGTTACAGAACATATTTTTGGAGTGAATTTTCAAAATTTTAAATCAACCTAAGACTAGATTAAATAATATATTTATACTTGTATTAGGAGTGTATAGGAAAGCATCATTTTTGGCAGAAAATTTACAATAAAGTTGTAGAATGTGGGGCTGTCAGAAATTTCAGTTAGTCTCAAAGGAATTTGATGAGTGTAAAAGTATTTAGTGCTATAATAACAATGTCAGTGTGAAATTGCTTCTTGTTTGAAATGAATATAAAAAGAATTTATCAGAAGCATCTTTAATAAATTCAATAGAATTTACTAACAAACTTAAGACATTGTCCCTAGGAGTAAAAGGAAAAACAATTCTCTGAAGATGCACAAAGATGATAACTGTGTCACGCATAGATCTGCCATTATCCAGAGCTATGGGTCTCTTTAAGACCCAGGGGCTAAATGGGCTGCACCTTATTCTTGGCGTGATGATCCCCATATTCTATCCCCTTTCCTGCCTTTGGTATAATTTCTTATGGTTCTCCAGCATGGAGAGCTGACTAGTAACACCAGGTCTCATTATTTCAACTAAAATCTCTGTTTCACTCGCTGACTATAGGAGCCTGGATTAAAATCAACTTGAAGCCCTGTATCAATCTAGGCTCAAATAGTCAATTGTTTCAAAGTAGGATGACAAAGGCCACATCCCCTGAGTAATGCTCTGAGCTGCGCTCCCCACCAGCCTGTTCCTGGGGTCTCAGGAGCATCTGCCCTAGAGTCTGGCTTTCTGGAGAGCAGGTGAGGGGGAAAAGCCAGGTCAGTGAGCCTCTCTCCTTAGCGAGGGCAGCTGCTGCACAAGGCATGTTCTTGCCATGCACCAGGGCATCATCCTGACCCAGATGCCAGCCACCCTGTCTCACATGCATTTAGAGAGAATCTCCATCTTCTGCCAAGACACTGCCCATGTAGATGAAAAAGTGTTTTGCATCCAAACATATCTTAAGCACTGATTTGCACCTCAATACTTCACACAGATGCCTTTGCCCAGGGCGTGTCGGCCTGGCTCAACAGCAGGGGAAGTGGAGCCAATTACATCAGTGTCAGTGGACTGAGAAATACTCCAGGGAGTAGTTCTCATGCACGACTACCCATGGCCAGACCAAGGTAGTGCAGCCTATGCACAAACCTCCTCCTGCTTTTCCAGAGGACTGGATTTCTGGGAAATGGCTACCGAACAGGCTGCCAGGATCCATATATCCAGATTCAGAGAGATACATCTCTGGATTCAAATGCACTTTTTCTTTGTGCATAATTTTAGCAGTCATTGTTACTATGCCTTGGGGATTCTAGACATTATACTTCAGCTGACTCTCTATGGCCCTTTCTCCCCTTCACTGCTCTATCTGAACCTGGGGAGGCAGCTCAGGCTGCAAATGAGGCAGACCTCATGGCCTGGAATTAGCATCCCCTAGGACGGTTGTCAATCAGTGATGACAAGGGAGGTGTACACATCCCCCAGCTCCCTCACCTCTCAGGTGGAATAACAGAGACATTTTTCCTGTGTTTCTATGTGGGCTTGAGCTCTCGTCATCCTCAGAGGTGGCTCCTTCTGAGGCACTTTTCACTTTCCCTTTCCCTCCTCCCCTCCCTTGCTCACTTGCTTGTTTCCCGCACTTTGTAAATATACTGCCTGCATGCGAATCTTTGGCATCCTTCTCACTGAGGGGACCCAACCTAATGCATTGGAAAAATCCTCATTCTTGGAGGGCATCGTTGGTTTGAATTATTGCCACTTCTCATGTTTTAATGCCTAGGGAAATTCCAAAAATTTAGGAAATCTTTAAATTCCCTTTGCCAATCTTTCTTAGATTTGATTTTAGCAGAGATTCATTTTCTCTAGGTCACAAAATCACAGAAGCCTTCCACAAATGGCTACACAACATAGAGTCCACATAGAGCAGAGGCTCAGAATCTCCCAGGATTTGACATCCACACATCAGACAGTCCTCGAGTCTCAGGTTTTTTCTAGGTCGATCGCCTCATAAATCTGCCTTGTGATATTTTTATTCTACCTTAGGGGAAGGCCATTGTGTGGATGATGAGAGTTGTTTGTGGAATGAATAATACACCCACTAAAGACATCATTGTCCTAATATCTGGAATCTATGATCATTACTTATGAACAAGTCAAAAATAACTTGGCAGACGTGGTTGAGAATTTTGAGGTCAGGAGAGTATCCTGAATTATCTGGGTGAGACCATCATAATCACAAGGGTCCTTACAATAGGGAGGGAGGAAGGTAACAGCCAGAGAGGACCTGGGACAACGGACAGGGAAACTGGAGTGATGGAGGAAGGGGCCATGCTGCTAGGAATGTGGGAACATCAGAAAGATGGAATGCTCGACATTGGATTCTCTCTCTTGAAGCCTAGAATGAATAGAGCCCTATTACTCCTTGATTTTACTTCATTGAGACTTCTGACCTCCAGAAATGTAAGATAATACACTTGTGTTATGTGGAGTAGTAAAGTTGTGGTAATTTGTTACAGCAGCAACAGGAAACCAATGCAAGGGGAAGGGGTGTGTTTTACTTCCCTAGTGTATCACTGTCCTCTGTTCTCCCAAATAGTTCTGTGTTTTTGTGTTTGCTGTCAATTTCAACAAGAGACAGAAAACATTTTTCTATGAGGAGAGCTAGTACCACAATTCTTCTTACGTAGAAAGTGTCTTGAGTAATTCTCTGGGTTAGGTCTTGTACAATCTTGGTATCTGAGAGCCTGGAGGTCATCTCTCACAGCACATGAGAAGAGGAAGGGGATGCGGGTTTGCTGTTTTAACATTCATAGGGCAAATTGGATGTACAAGACCCATTCTTTTTATTATTATTATTATTGTTAAGTTCTAGGTTACATGTGCACAACATGCAGGTTTGTTACATATGTATACATGTGCCATGTTGGTGCGCTGCACCCATTAACTCGTCATTTACATTAGGTATATCTCCTAATGCTATCCCTCCCCCCTCCCCACACCCCACAACAGTCCCCGGTGTGTGATATTCCCCTTCCTGTGTCCACGTGTTCTCATTGTTCAATTCCCACCTATGAGTGAGAACATGCAGTGATTGGTTTTTTGTCCTTGCGATAGTTTGCTGAGAATGATGGTTTCCAGCTTCATCCATGTCCCTACAAAGGACATGAACTCATCCTTTTTTATGGCTGCAAGCGAGGACTGAGTCAGAGAGATGGGGATGGCAGAGGAGACAAAATGTGGTCAGGGCCGTGTAAGATGTGACCCTGCTGCCATATCTGAAAGAAAGGCTGTTGGTGTTTGTAAAGGCTTTGGGCAAATTGTGCTTTGTAGACAAAACTGTAGAAGGGTCTGGGTTTAAGCTTAGTGTCAGCGTGATGAGGACTAGAGGTCGCAGTGAGCTTGTGTTAAGAAATCCACCCTGCACTTCTGGCTTTGTCTCTTTTCCGGTTTTATAGGTGGTGGGTCCCTCTATGGAATGAACGTGGTTCTGTGGAAGGAACATAAGTTAAGGTCAGACAGACCTAGATTCCAAGTTCAGCTTCGACAACTGCTGACCAAGTGACTTTTATGCAAATCAGCCATGTGCTGTCATGAACAGTTTCCTCATGTGTGAAATGGGGCACTGAGGATGTGAAGGGGTGTCCTGAGGGTTCCGCCAGCTGATGCACCATGAAGTGTACATACATGTATAGACAGACACACACACATACATGAGAAGAGTATCTAGTGCCTCTTTTATGCATTCTTGAGTAACTCAGAATGTTATGTGAGATATTAACAGTCATATGTCATTTTCAACTAAAATTATCAATATTTATCTTATAACTAACAGATGCTTCTCTGTACACTGTAGGTTTCATGTACATTTTTTCAATCACAAAATGTTTCACCAATCTATTTACGTCTAGTATCAGAAAGTTAAGCAAGGAGATTGCAAACCAACACAACACCTTTAGTCTGGATTTTCCCGGAGCCCCATTTGTGTTAGTGTCCTCGGGCTACTGTAAAAAGTTCTCAAAAATGTGGTAGCTTCACACAACAGGAATGGAATCTCTCATAGTTCAGAAGTCCAGATCAGTTTCACTGGGCTAAGATCTTGGAGTCATCAGTTCTGGCTCCTTCTGAAGCTCTAGGGAGCAGTCTGATTTAGCTCTTCCAGCTTCTGGTGGCTTCTCTCTCCCGGGATGTGGACACATCACTGCAATCTCTGTCTCTGTGTTCACACTGCCTTCTCCACTTCAGTCTATGCTAAATCTCTCTCTACCTCTTGTTTTTTTTAGGACACTTGAGTTTGCATTTAAGTCCCAGTTGATTAATCTAAGACCATCTCCCTGTTTCAAGCTCCTTAATTTACACCTGCAAAAGCTGTTTTCCCAAATGAGATACATGCATAGTCTTCATGGAATGAAACCTCACTATTTGGGGATGATACTCAGTACTACACCATTACATAACCAGGTCTCAGTGTTAGTCCTGTACATACATCACAATCTCTCTCTCTCTCTCTCTCTCTCTCTCTCTCTCAATGTCCACACACCCTGGCTTCCTCCTTTTCTCAATGTCATAAATCTCTTCAATTCCTTAAGTGTATCCAGTGATACCTATAAACAAATAAGTATCTGAGAAAAGTCTCAATCAGTTTAGAAATTTATTTGGTCAAAGTTAAAGAAATATCAGTGAAACAGCCTCAGGAGGTCTTGAGAACGTGTGTCAAAGGTCGTCGGGCTACAGGTTGGTTTTACACGTTTTAGGGAGACATAAGATATCAATCAATACGTGTAAGTTGTACATTGCTTTGATATGAAAAGGCAGGACAGCCCGAAGGAGGGGGGATGTTGGGGACTTCCAGGTCCTAGGTGGATTCAAAGATTTCATAGGTGGTTGAAAGAGTTGATCTAATGACCTGTAATCAACACAAGGGAGTTTCTGGGTTTAGAAAAAGGGTTTTGGAGCCAAGGTTGCATCATGCAGATGGAGCCTCCAGGTAGCAGGCTTCAGAGAGAATAGATTGTAATTGTTTCTTAGCAGACTTAAAAGGTGCCAAACTCTTAGTTAAATCTCTCTGGGTCAGGAAAGAGACTTAAAAAGGAGTCTCTACAGAATGTAGATTTTTCCCACAAGAACCAGCTTTGCAGAGGCATTTTTAAATACATTAAATAACAATATCTTGGGGAAAATACTTTGATTTCTCTTAGGACGTGGTATCTGTCACATTGGTATCTTATTGCTATAAAGAGTTTTCTTTGTCAGTCTCAAGGTCTCTGTCTTCATATTAAAAGCTGGTCAGTTGTGCCTGAATTTTAAAGGGAAGAGGGTAAGTTAAGGCATATCCAATCATCCGTTCCGATCATGGGCTGCATTGTATTTCAGGTTGATTTTGGTGTGTGCTTGGCTGAGAGGAGGAGTTCATTCAGTTGGTTAGGGAGCTTAGAGTTTCATTTTTGGTTTACACACCTATGTCCAGGTAAGAGGGCCCCACACAGGAGGGCTTGCTCAGAACCTGGCTTGCAGGGCTGCTTACAGACCTTCTATGTCTCCTGTTGTCATGCACAAGGAAGGACACAGCCAATGACAACCCTCAGCCATCCGAGGAGAAGCTGTGTCTGCAGAGGACGGTCATGAGCTGTGAGTCTAGAGACCTGTGATTGTCTTCAGGGGCCTGTGGTCCTTGGCTTTCATAGGAGTTGTGGGGGCACTGGCTCAAATAGCATCCACCAGGATTCTAATCAGAATATCTCATTCACAGAAGGCAGTGGGTGGTATGACAGCACAGAGGGACTCTGTGGGTCCAGCTGCATGGAGCACTCTGGGAGAGTCACTGGCACCCGTGCTAGACAGAGCTTCATTCAACTTCTGGAGCACACGGATTTAGATCTCTTTACATCATTTTGAAAGACCACTTATCATTCTGAAGGAAACCACTGTAATTAACTAAGGTAACATCTTTAATAGGTAGAAAGAAAAAACTGATTATTTTATTGCCAAGATGATTACAAGAAAAGAAAGAAACAAAAATAGCATGAAGGAAAGAGCAACACTAGACTGAGGGCTTTGGGTAAGAGGTTGAGACTTAGTAGTGAATGCCCTGGGCCATCTTCTGTCAAAAGGGAGGGACAATCAGCAAAGGGAAATATGCAGTAGAGGCAAAATCTTGGTTAGTAAAAGAATCCTAAGAGAAAACAAGAAGTCTCCTTCCTGAGCATCATGTTGGTGTCGGGAAGATGCACATAATCCCCCCATTGCATGTCTTAACACTTTTCAGCAATTAGGGCTCAGCACGAATTTAGAAGACACCATTCACTTCACAGCAGATGGGGACACAGTCAAGGCAGCGGTGAGAGGCAAGGCTGGGCTTTCAGTCTCAGAGCACAGAGCAGGTTCCCCACTACTCCGCACCCTTGTGTCTCCTCCCAGATGTTCCAGATGTTCCACCTCATTCTTGCCTTAAGGGCTCCAAGTTGTTAATGGGACAGTAGCCCTCTTCCTTTCCCAGGGTTTCTAAGAATTTGGCTCTCTTTTGTGTATTGCGGGGTTTGTTTGCCATCTAGAGGCAGGTTTTTGGCATAGCAACTTATAGGCTTTTTCTACTTGTGATAGCGAAAATAAATACATAAATAAATTCATCATAAATAATAAATTGACTTAATGCATTGAATCTGTAAAAAAAAAAATAAGGTCAGTTTGAGAGCTTAAAAGGAGCCTGATGAGGTTAAAAAGACAAATTACCTTTAGTAAAGAGCAGTTGGAGCAATAGATGATTCTTTCTTTAATCAATGACATTTTAGGAGTAATTATCAAATGGTAAATAAAACTTGAAATAAGCTGATAAACTATAATTTTATATGAAAAAAATATTTCCAAGAACCATACAAATACATTTTCAGATTAAAACAAACAAAAATGTGGGTTTATCATCAGATCCGCTAAATGGAAGATTTCTCAAATGTGTGCTTGGAGCAAAAATAACACTTATCCCTATTTAAAAGTTGAAGATTTTTGAGCTTTCGAAGAAAACAGCTTTCCCTTCCCTCTGTTCCACTCACACTTCTGACGATGGCCATGGGGCAAAAAGCCGAGACGCGCAAAAAGCTGCGGTGGTGGGGGGGCAAAAAGCCGCGGCGGCGGAGGCAAAAAGCAGTGGGAGCAAAAAACCATATAACGTCGCGGCGGCGGGGGGCAAATAGCCGCGGCGGCGGGGGCAAAAAGGTGCAAAAAGCAGTGGTGGCGCGGGCAAAAAGCCAGGGCGGCGGGGGCACAAAGACGCAAAAAGCCACAGTGGCGGGGGGGAGTGGGGGGGCAAAAAGCCACAGTGGCGGGGGGGGGGGCAAAAAGCCACAGTGGCGGGGGGGGGGGGCAAAAAGCCGCAGCCGGCAACAAGCCGCGGCGGCGGGGGGAAAAAGCCGCGGCAACAAAAAACCACGGCGGCGGCGGGGATGCAAAAAGCTGCGGAGGCAAAAAGCCGCGGCGGCAGGGGGGCAAAAAGCCGCGGCGACGGGGATGCAAAAAGCCGCGACGGGCAAATAACCGCGGCACCGGGGGGGGGCAAATAACCGCGGCACCGGGAGGGCAAAAAGCCGCGGCGGCGGGGGTGAAAAAGCCGTGGCGGTGGGGGGGGGGGGGCAAAAAGCCGGGTCGAGCAAAAAGCCGGCAGCAGGGGGCAAAAAGCCGCGGCGACGGGGGTGCAAAAAGCCGCGACGGGCAAATAACCGCGGCACCTGGGCGGCAAAAAGCCACGGCGGCGGGGGTGAAAAAGTCGCGGCGGCGGGGGAGCAAAAAGCCGGGTCGGGGAAAAAGCCGCGGCGGCGTAGGATAAAAAGCCTCGGTTGGCAAAAAGCCGCGGCGGGCAAAAAGCCGCGGCGAGAAAAAGCCATGGCGGCGGGGTGGCAAAAAGCCGCGGCGGCAAAAAGCCACAGCGGCCGGGGGGGCAAAAAGCCGGGTCGGGCAAAAAGCCGCGGAGGCAAAAAAAGCCGCGGCGGCAGGGGGCAAAAAGCCGCGGCGGGCAGAAAGTCCTGGGGGCGGGGGGCAAAAACCCGCGTCCGGCAAAAAACCGCGGCGGCAGGGGGCGGGGGGTGGCAAAAAGCCGGGGCGGGCAAAAAGCCGCGTCGGCAGGGGGGAAAAATCCGCGGCGGCGGGGGTGAAAAAGCCGCGACGGGCAAAAAGCCACGGCGGCGGGGGGGCAAAAAGGTCGGGAAAAAAGTCGCGGAGGCAAAAAAAGCCGCGGCGGCAGAAAGCCGTGGAGGCGGGGGGCAAAAAGCCGGAGCGGGCAAAAAGCCGCGGCGGAGGGGGTGAAAAAGCCGCGGCGGCGGGGGGCAAAAAGCCGCGACGTCGGGGGGCAAAAAGCCGGGTCGAGCAAAAAGTCGCGGCAGCAGGGGGCAAAAAGCCGCGACGGGCAAATAACCGCGGCACCGGGGCGGCGGCGGCGGCGGCGGCGGGGGAGCAAAAAGCCGGGTCCGGCAAAAAGCTGCGGCGGCGTGGGGTAAAAACCCGCAGCGGGCAAAAAGCCGCGGTGGCGGGGGGGCAAAAAGCCGCGGCGGCGGGGGATCAAAAAGCCGGGTCTGGCAAAAAGCCGCGGTGGGCAGAAAGCCGTGGGGGCGGGGTGCAAAAAGCCGCAGCGCGCAGAAAGCCGCGGCGGCGGGGGACAAAAAGCCGCGGCCGCGTGGGGGGGCAAAAAACCCGCGGCGGGGGGACAAAAAGCCGCGGCGGCGGGGGTGCAAAAAGCCGCTGCGGGCAAATAAGTGCGGCACCGGCAGGGGGGTTAAAAAGCCGAGTCGGGCAAAAAGCCGGGTTGGGCAAAAAGCCACGGCGGCGGGGGGGAAAAAAGCCGTGGCGGGCAGAAAGGCGCGGCGGCGTGGGGGAAAAAGCCGCGGCGTTGGGGTCAAAAAGCCGCGGCGGCGGGGGGGGCAAAAAGCCGTGGCGGCGGGGAACAAAAAGCGGCCAGGGGGGGGGCAAAAAGCCGCGGCGGCGGGGGGGCAAAAAGCCGGGGGTGGGCAAAAAGCCGGGGCGGGCAAAACCCCGCGGCGGCAGTGGGGCAAAAAGCTGGAGCGGGTAAAAAGCCGCGGCAACAAAAAGCCGCGGCGGCGGGGGCGCAAAAGCCGCGGTGGACAAAAAGCTGCGGCGGCGGGGTGCAAAAAGCCGCGGTGGGCATAAACCCGAGGCGGCGGGGGGCGGGGGGGTGCAAAAAACCGCCGTGGGGAAAAAGCCACGGCGGCGGGGGGCAAAAGCCCGCGGCGGGCAAAAAGCCGCGGCGGCGGGGGGACATAAAGCCGCGGTGGCGAGGGGGGTCACAACAAAGCCGCGGCGGGCAAAAAGCCGAGGCGGGGTGGGGGGCAAAAAGCCGCGGCGGCAGTGGGGCAAAAAGCCACGGCGGCGGGGGGTAAAAAGCCGCGGCGGGCAAAAAGTCGCGGCGGCGGGGGACAGAAATCCGTGGCGGGCAAAAAGCTGAGGCGGGGTGGGGGGGAAAAAGCCGCGGCGGATGGGGGCAAAATAGTGGAGATGGGGTAGAAGGACGGCACAGCTTGGTATTGCTGGAGTGTGATGTGATAGGAAATGTGCAGCCAAAGACAAAAAAAGATGTAAGCTTGACTCATTGCAGCTAAGAACCCAGATGTTATCTTGAGGGTATTAACTAATAAGCAGTTTAAATCAGAATGGCATATTCTGATTTGTTTTTTGTATGTTCACATTTGGCAGGCATAGATACTGTTTGAAAAGAGGAAAGACAGTAGAGGTAACAAACTTAAATATGTGCGAAGTCTAGAAACAAGAGACCAGGGGGATAAGGACCTTTCAAAATAAAATGCAAGATTTGAAAACTGATTGGCTGGGGCATGAGGAAAAGGCAGGTCTTTAAGGTCAATCCCTGTTTTGCTTTAAGTTGTTAGGGGTTGGTTTTATCACATATTGTAGAACATGTCATTTCAGTTTTGAACATCTTGAGTTAAATTGTCCTAACATATCTTATGAATTTGATTTTCTTCCCTGGGAAGCTAATATTTCAAAAACTGAAAGAGTATATAGATTTCCAACTTGTATCCAATTTATAAAACTATCTCTAGGCTGCTGATTTCAGGAGGAGGCTCATGAATATTCTCTTTTCAGAGAATATATCAGGAGTTAACAACAGCTTCAATATTTGTGGACGACCAGTTAACTAAGCCACCTCTTAAGTGTATTTAGATGGGAAATCTTAGCTGAAGATATTCAATAATGAACCAACAGTGACTAAAAAATTCAACATTTAAGTATATTTCATTGTAATTAATTTGAATTGAAGTAGCAGCTAGTATTTACTACATTGAACAATGCAAATAAGAGGAAAAAATTAATAACTATCTCTAATACCACAAGCCAAAATCCTCATCAATTTATTCTAGCTAAAGGAGTTGATCAGAAGCAGCAGTTGAAAGCACCAACTAAACCAGCTGGGGTTGGTTCACTGTCGTTCTCTCAGAACCATCTCTTCTCTGAACAAAACAAGTACAGGAGTTCATTGTGAATCTGCATTCTCCTTGCCTATTTTAAGGTTTTGATGTTGACACTAATTTGTGAAATCCCTCCTGTGGTGTGATATTTCGTTTTCCTTGCTTTCTGTTAGGACAAGAATGCTTCAGCTCTTAATTTAAAATTATGTTTCTCCCTCCTAGGTTGAGTGAACTTAGAATGCATTCTCTGACATATCCAAGTTTTTGTTAATATGAATTTCAGGAAAAAAGCATACTTAATTAGCTAAGACTTCTTATTCTAGGCTTGACCCTATGTTCGACATCTTTTGAATTTCTAGTTGCATGGGCTGCTCTCTGACACTGGTTAGTGACCTGGAAGCTGTATTAATGTTAGGGGAGGTGGTGTATGAGCATTAGAGGTATCCTTGCAAGGAAAGACTTGTCTTATCTCAATACGTCTTTTTTTTTTTGCACACAAGAAAGTCAATGTTTGAGTCTTCTAAAATCTTCCTATTTCCAAGTTGCAGAGTACCATTGATTCCTAAACAAAAACCTAATTTTTGACTCAGAGACGTGGCGAGGTAGTGAATCACCATTATAATTTAACAATCTTCAAGATAAAATTATCTCTGATATTTAGATTTTGCCCAATTATTAAGATATTTGGGTGTTTTGTTAAGAATGGAAGACTCTTGTCTCTTGAGCAGAGACTATAAAGGCCTCAGATGATCATTTTTAATTTTATGCTCTTTTCTTTAACACCTTCAACACAGTTGGAAGCAGCCGGTATTCCCCAGAGTTGTTGTGTTTTTTAAACCAAATGCATGGTTCAGTGGTAGAAAACTGGGCAGATCCAAGCTGTTTTCAGTAAACACTTCATTTCAGGTGACCTATTTCATATTAAATAATCTCTAGATCCTGTCTTCGAAACTAACTAGATCAGATAACCTACCCTGGATTTTCTCCTTTTTAGGGTCTGTGAGCTGCAGTCACTCTTGTGAAAATGATTGCAGTGACAAGATAGAGTTGTAGATGGGGAAAATGTTTTGACTAATTTAAGCATAGTGGTATTTCATATGAGAATTTAAGTTACACACATTTGAAAATTATAATGGAGTCTCTTGGCTGAGCTTTAAAAAAAAATAGCGTTTTGGCTAAAAAGGGAACTGCTACCTCTCCTAAAATCAGAAAGATGTTACAGTAATTCTCCATTCTCTAGAATTATCAAGAAGCACCTTTGTGATGATTTACTTTTGCTCTTGGGAGTGTGAGCCCGTGTAGTCGTGGAACCATCAATTAGAATGGTGGCTTTCTGATCCCAAAGTCATTCGTTCTGAAAACAATATTTTTTCATAAATTTGAAAGTGAGAAGTTTTGATCTTGCCATTCCCACGTAACTCTCTTAATAAGAGGCATCAGCATGCTTCAGTGACAGCTGTCACCTTCCAGTGCTGAGAGTCATCTTTGAGTTCTCCATTTCACTCCCTACACTCCAATTTAGCTGCAGTTCTCTTGGCCAGTCCTATGAAATACATCCATGGCCTAACGACTTCTCACCACTACTACCACTCATCCTGACAGCATTCTCACCTAAGTCACTACCTTTTTTCTCTGGATTAGAGTAGCCTCCCAATTTATTTGCTCACATAACCTATTTATTCTACACAGTGCACCAGATACACCCCTTTGAAATGCAAACACAATCATGTTATTCTCTGGTGAAATTATCTCATATATTCCTATCGCATTTAAAATTAATTCAGAATCATCCCATGATTATCAAAACCCTACATGCTCTTCCACAACATGGTTTACTTCCAAGATATCTCTTCAACTTTTTTTTTCACTCTACTGAATTGGTGACTAATAGTCATATTTTTGCTTTTGCTCAAAAAGTCTTGACTTGTAAATTTTTCAGTTTCTCCTTTATCCACAGGTAACTCTTTCCTCATAAGGTGAATTGCTTGCTTCCTTGAGTTCTGCTCTCAAAGATACCCTTCATTTTCTACCTAATATTAATAACTTTAATCATTCATTATTCCATTACTATGCTCTATAGTGTATACAATTTCTGTTCTTTGTCATGTTATTAACTAAATTATTTATTTGGTCCAGTAACGCATTCCATAAATATTGTGCACATAAAAATTGTGTTATTTTTATTCCTGTATGCTCAGCTGCCCAATAACAGTCTGATGATTAACATATTTGTTGAATGCACAAATACATTCTTTCACAAATATTAGTTTAATAATTTCATATTAAACTCCCTCTATACTTACAATATGAATTAGATAATTCAGAATAAACATTCCAGTGGAAAAAACTAAACAATTTGTTATAAAACATCCTTAAAAGCATCAGAAAGTTAATACAGCAATGAAGAATTACAGGACCAAATTAAGAATGGTATGAAAGCCTGTTGGTGACGCTTATGTTTGGGTTATCTCTTTACTTAGAGTGACTATAAATCTCAAAAGAGAACTAAAGGGAGAAATAACCGTATCTACTAACAGGGTAAGGGTACTTAAACATCTCTTAGTAATTGAGAAAATTGAAAGAAAAGAAAAAAGAGAAAGGGAGAAAGAGAAACAGCGAAAGGGATAATGAAGGCGAGAAAGAAGAAGACAAAGGAAGAGGAAGAAAAGTAAAGAGGAGGGGGAAGGAGGAAGGAAGAAAGGTGAAAAGAAAGAAGGGTAAACTTTTTAATAACATAATTTATCCTTCTAGAATATGAATGTTGGTCTATTTGATGATGTCCCACAGATTCATTAGTCTCTGCTCATTGTTTATTTTTTATTCTTTCTGTTTCTCAGAGTCAGTATTTTCCATTATCTTCTCTTCAAGTTCATGGCTTCTTCTGTGTGTGCAAATAGACTCTTAAATCCCTCTGGTGATTTTGAAATTTTTATCATTGTAGTTTTCCATTCCAGAATTTCTGTTATCTCTTTGCTGATATTCCTGCTTTTTAATATTTTTTTCTGATTCCTTTATTTCTTTGATTATGTTTTCCTTTTGACATTTGAGTATAATGAAGAGAGTTGTTTTAAAGTCTTTGTCTAGTAAGTTTGATGTCTGGGTTTCCTTAGGGATATTTTCTGTCAATTTATTTTGTTCCTTTGAATGAGCCACACTTTCCCATTCTTTGTATGCCTTGTAACGTTTTTTGAAAACTGGACATTCTAATAACTATAATTACTAAGTGGTTACTCTGCAAATCGAACACCCCCTACAAACACAGTAATGTTTTGTGGTTTTAAATTTTCTTTACTTATTATATTGTTAAGGATTTTTTTTTTTTTTAGTGAAATTTTCCAAAGTGATTTACAAAACTGTTTGCTTTATAAGGTGTGGTCACCGAAGTCTTTTTGTTTCCTTAACAAATGTTAAGCTAATGTTTTGACAGTGATTTTCTTGTATGTCAGGAACCAATCAAACAGGCAAATACAAGAAAAACAAAAAGGAAAACAAGTAATCATTGTCCAGCAAAATATGTCTCTAGGCCATGCAGACTGGCTTTGTGCTGGGTTCTTTAAAGCCGGCACAAAGTGTGTGTTCACTCTTGCACTGAGTGAAGTTCAAGTTCACTCTTGCACAGAGCTTGCACTGAGGGGAGGGATCGGCCAAGGTGAAAGTGTAGGGTCTTCTTATGACATTTGTCAGCATGTGGCTTAACCTATGAATACATGTGACTTTCCAGACTCTCCCATGTACGTGAATGATTTTGTGTGTCTTTTTTTGAAATACGCTTCTCCACCTTTTCTTACTGTGCTGAAGGTGATCTACTATATGCGTAAACTTTAATTTTTGCCCTAAGCATCTGTGGTTTGTTAAGTCTCCTTGCAGAGTTTCTTAATAATGTCCATTCCTTATCTGTTCTGTATTCAAGCAACACAGAAAAAAAAGCCTTTCATGAGTCCTTTAGGTATCCCCCAGACCAGTCAGAACAGACACATAATAACTTGCGGGTAAGATCTTCTCTTGTTCCTTTGGACCATGGACCAGGCTTCCTCACTGGGAACGTGGGCTTCTGACACTTCAAAACTGCCAATTTGCTGGGGCAAAGACAAGTTTAAAATGTCGTAAAGTTTTCCAGTTGTCTTTTTCTTGAGTCTGCTTTCACTTGGTTGTTGTAATCTTTTGACCATTTTCCAGAGTTTTGGCAAAGTTTGTTCGGACAGTTTCTCTTAGTTGTGTGATGTTTCTGTGGGGAAATGACAGATTGCAGCTGTCTCCACTGCCATTTTGCTGATGCTCCTCTTTTGTCAATTTTTGCTTCATGTTATTATGCTTTGTTATTAGTTCATGTATTAGTTTTCTAGGGCTGCCATAACCAACTAACACAAACTGAGTGCCTTGAACAGCATACATTTATAGTCTTATAGTCCTGGAAGCTAAAAGTCTGAGATTGAGGTGTCAGCAGGGATGGTCCCTTCAAGGGCTATGAGAGAAAGCCTGTTCTGTGCCTTGTTTCTCGCTTCTGGTGGTTTAGTGGCAGTCTTTGGCATTCCTTGGCTAATCTCTGCCCTCATAATCACATGGTACTCTCCCTGTGTGTATGTCTCCCTCTACTCAAATTTCTTCTTTTAATAAGGACATCAGTCATATTGAATTCAGGCTCATCTGATTGTATCTTAACTTGATCAGCTGCAAATAACCTATTTCCTAATGAGGTCATATTCAGTGGTTAGAATTTCAGCATCTATATAGAGGAAACAATTTAGCTCATATCTGTGCATACATGATTGTAATAGCTATGTCTTCCTAAAGCGTTGACCCCCTTTTTACTACAATATAAATTTTTAAAATCCTATTCACATTTTTAATAGTCTATATTGTGTGTTATGAGTATAATGAGTTCAGTGTTCTTATGATTGCTCTTTGTAGGATATTTTTTGTCATCTTTTTACTTTCAATCCGTTAGTATCCTTGCATCTCAGCGTATATTGGGATCACTTGTTTTAATCCGGTCTGACAATCTCTGCCTCTGGAATGGATTTTAATCTGCTCACATTTAAGATTATAATTGGTATAATTCTATTTATGTCTGCCATTTTACCGTTTGTTTTATATATTTCCAAATATTTTTCTTTATTGCTTTATTTTGCAATGCAAGAATATTTTTTAAAATAGGGAACTTTAGATTACTAATGAATTATTTTATTATATATTTTTGAGACTTTTTATTGTTGTAAGTTTACCATATAGGTGTATGGAAAATTAATTATTCAAATCATCTTCCAATTTATACTATTAAACTTTTAGTAATACATAGAAACATCATTCTTATATAAATCATTTTTATTTCCTCCATTTTAAAGTATTATCACTTTACACATTACATCTATTAAAGTTACAAAGCAAACAATACATTTTAGTAATTATTACTTTACCATCTAGAGTGATTACCTTATCACAATACATTTTTCTTCCAACTACCTCCTTTTTGATGTTACTGGAAAATATGTTATAGACGTATTACATTTCTACATGTCAAATACTCAGCAATACATTATGCACATATTATTATTATTATCATTGAGACGGAGTCTCCCTGTCACCCAGGCTGGAGTGCAGTGACACAATCTCCGCTCACTGCAAGCTCCATCTCCCGGCTTCATGCCATTTTTCTGCTTCAGCCTCCCGAGTAGCTGGGACTACAGGCGTCCGCCATCACGCCCGGCTCATTTTTTGTATTTTTAGTAGAAACGGGGTTTCACTGTGTTAGCCAGGATGGTCTCGATCTCCTGGCCTCGTAATAAGCCCGCCTTGGCCTCTCAAAGTGCTGAGATTACAGGTGTGAGCCATCGTGCCTGGCCATTATACACATGTTATTTAATAAACAATTTATTATAAAGAGAAGAAATGCATTTTTACTGTCTTTTATAATGTCAATATTACGTATATCAGTGCTTTTTTTAAAATGTGGATTCAAGTGACTGTCTTCTGTAACTTGCTTTTAGCCTTAGGAATTTTTTTAGAGTTTTTTTTTTTTATATGGTAGGTCTGCCAGCAACAACTTCAGTTAATGTTTCTGTTTATCTGGCTAAGTCTTTGTGTTATTTTCATTTTTGAAAAATAATTGCTGGATAAGGAATTCGTGGCTGAGAGGTTTTTTTCCTTTGCATCTTTTGAATATATTATTCTACTGCCTCTTGCCTTCCATTGTTTCTCTTAAGTCAGCTGTTAATCTTACAAAACATAGGTGCTCAGAAAATAAACATGTGCATGAATATTTACAGCAGTAATATTCATACAGTCAAAAAGTGGAAACAATCCATATGCTTGTTGACTCATAAAGGGACACCCAATTTTCAGCTATAACGAAGAATGAAGTACTTATATATGGTATAATATTGGTGAAATTTGAAAGCATTATGTTAAGTGCACAAAAGGACAAATATTACTTGATTTGATTCACATGAAACATCAGGAATTGGCAAATCAATTGGGATATAAATCAGATTAGTGGTCATTAGGGCTCAGGGAAGCAGAATAGGGTGTAACCACTTTATGCATAATGGGTTTTTGTAAGGGACATGATGAAATTGCCCTGGAACATGGTGAATATACTAAAAGCAAGTGCATTGTATGCTTTAAAATGGTTGTTATTACTTTTGTATTATGTGATTTTTACCTTAAAAAACAAAAAAGAGAAAATAGCCTTACTCTATACATAATAAACTCAAGATATGTTACAAATTTACATGTGAAATCCAAAATACTATAATATTTAAGGAATAGCTAAGTAGAATAACACTGAAATTTAACATAATGAAGCATTTCCTTAAAAAAGGAAAAAGCACAGTAATTAAAAAGGGAAATATATTTAATATTTTTTCTCTCCATTAAGCATGCCATTAACTGAGTAAAAAATCAAGCTGCAATTATGTAAACTACATTTTCTAAAACCATAAAGAAAAGAAGAAATAAAAAGGTATTTGGGAAAAAAATCCAAAGGTACAGTCAACTACACAAAAAAAGCTTAGTCTCATTAATCATTATGAAAATGCAAATGGTAGCTGAAAGAAGATAAAACTACAATTCAAAGACAAAGCCTAAAATTTCAAACCCCCAAAAAGTCTGGGTTTTGGAGATCTGGGAAGGAATAGGGTTCCTAACCTGACAACAATGAAAGAACCAAACTAACTTCAAAGTCATCACTTTATTTTTATAGCAACGAGGTTGCCAAGAACTGAGTCAAAATGTGAGGGAAAACAAGCACCTGCAAGGAGAAAGAGGACAGATGCACTTACATAGGACAGATGCAAATAGACACCACTATGACAAGTAAAGCTGGAATAATCAATAAATTCCTAAAGCAAAGTGGGGCTGGTGAGATTGGGAGACCGCTGACAGCTGCAGAAGTTGGGAAAGATCCATCATCTTGAAAACTTTTTCCCCACAAACCCACTGCGATCTCTCAAGCAATTGGTAAGGAATCCAAGAGAGTCTGTATATGACACAGATCAGGGAGAGCAGAACACTTAGGAGGTGACCAGGTCTTGGGGGCCGAGCCCTTATGAATGGGATTAGTGCCTTTATAAAAGAAGCTCAATGGAGTTCTTGTGTGCCTTCCAATATGTGAGGACATAGAAAGAAGGCACCATCTATGAACCAGGAAATTGGCTCTCATCAACACTGAATTTGTGAGCATCTTGGCCTGAGATCTTACAGCCTCAAGAGGTGTGAAAAAAGAAATATCTGCTGTTTTTTAGTCACCCAGTTTATGTTATTTTGTTAAAAGAGTCCAAACAGACCAAGATATCACACTTAATATGTAGGGGAAGGCAAGAAAAACTGCCACACTTAGAATACTCCTGATGCTGGGAGTATGAAAACAGGAAAAACAAAACAAAACTGCTCTTGAAGGTGAAGGAGGAATATCACTGAGCTCACCAACACAGCCAGGAAAAGAACAGAAGTGTGAGAATGCTACATTCCTGAGACCCTGAGAAAAAGTACCTGCATAAGACTGAGATGAAATTACCTACTCTAGTTATGATTGAAATCCCAAAAAGAAAAGAGGGAAAAGTAATGGAGCAAAAGAAATATTTTTCAAAATAACTGCCAAAAATATTCTAAAAGAAGTGACAGAAAATCAAACTTCAAATATAGGAAACTCAGAGAATGTCAAATAGAACAAAAAGAAATAAGAATTACATCTTGAAAAATCTTTAAAAAATCAAGTCTAAGTTTTATATCTTGCTCCAAATATTTAGAGATATAAATAGGTTTTCATCAAGATATGGAGAAAGCCATATCATGGAAACACTAAAATAAAGCTGTGGAAGGACTACATTGATATTAGACACAACAGAGTTCGGAACAAGCAATAGTATCAGAGATGAGAGATAATAGATAATAGAATAATCCGTTCTCAAGAAGATGTAAACATCCTACTAATTAGGGTATGCAGCTAACAACAGAACCTCCAAATACATGAGGTAAAACATGAAAGAAATCAAAGGTGAACTAGAAAAATCCAAAATTATATTTACAGACTTCAACACTTTTGTCTTAGTAATGGAAAGACTAGGCACAAACTCAGTAATCATGTGGAAGATAAGAACAACAATATCACCAACAAGACATCCAATCTTCAATGGCAGATACTCTTTCAAGTGAAAAAAAAAAAAAACAGTATGGCATATTCTTTAACAAA
Organism: Homo sapiens; assembly: GCF_000001405.40. Taxonomy (NCBI): domain Eukaryota; kingdom Metazoa; phylum Chordata; class Mammalia; order Primates; family Hominidae; genus Homo; species Homo sapiens. Next base: position 91,467,425 of record NC_000002.12, on the reverse strand, counting down.
CGCAGAATTTCTAATATTTGCGTTCTTGCTTCCTTCTTTCCGTCTTCCTTTCTCTTCCCTTCCCTTGCTTCTTCCTTCCTTTCTTCTTTTCCTCTTCCTTTTCTTTCCTTTTTGCTTTTCCTTTCTTTTCTTTTTTCTCCTTCCTTCCTTCTTTTCTTCTTTCTTTCTTTCCTCTTATTCTTCCTTCCCTCCTCCCTCCCTTCCTTTCTCCCTCCCTTTTCTTCCTTCTTTTCTCATATTCTTTCTTTCTTTCTCACGTTCTTGCTTTCTTCCCTTTTTTCTCCCTTCCTCCTGCCCTCCTTTTCTTCCTTCCTCCCTCACTTCCTTTCCTCTTTTTCCTTCCTTTGCCTCTTTATTTTCTTTGTTTCTTTGTCTTCCTCCCTTTTGCCATTCTCTCTTCCTCCTTTCCTTCCTCCTTTCCTTTCTTTCTTTCTTTCTTTCTCTCTTTCTCTCTCTCTTTCTCTTTCTTTCTTTCCTTCTTTCTTTCTTGTGTTCATGCTTTCTTTTTTCTCCCTTCCTGCCTTTCTCCCTTCCTCCCTCCCTCCCTTCCTTCCCTCATTTCCTCCTTCTTTTCTTTCTTCTTTCTTTATTTCCTTCCTTCCTTCTTTTTCTTTCTTTGTTTTCTTTCTTTCTCTTTACTACAATTCATATTAGTTTAAAAAAATTAAGAGAGGGAAACAGAAAAATAAAGAACGCTTTAATCTGCAGGTAAATAGATTATGTCTGCTGTAGGCAAAAGAATGGCCTCCCAAAAATTTTCATTTCCTAATTCCCAGAGTCTAACATACAAATATGTTAGGTTGCACGGCAGTGTGAAATTAGATTTCAAGTGAAATTAAGGTTGCGGAAAAATGATAGAGAGATTGTCTTAAATGGGTGGGATCAATGAAATCACAAACTTCCTTATAAGTGAAAGAAGAAGGCAGAAGAAAGGCAACCTTGGAGGTGGTGGCATGAGAAATTACTCAACATCACTTACTTTTAAGATACAAGAATGAGGACCCAGCGTGGTGGCTCACGCCTAATCCCAGCACTTTGGGAGGCTGGGGTGGGTTCATCACGAGGTCAGGAGATCGAGACCATCCTGGCTAACATGGTGAAACCCCATCTCTACTAAAAATACAAAAAATTAACTGGGCATGGTGGCAAGTGCCTGTAGTCCAAGCTACTCAGGAAGCTGAGGCAGAAGAATCACTTGAACCTGGGAAGCAGAGGTTGCAGTGAGCTGAGATCGTGCCACTGTACTCCAGCCTGGGTGACAGAAGGAGACTCCATCTCAAAAAAAAAAAAAAAAAAAAAAAAGAAAAATAGGATATAAGAATGAGGTCATGTTCCAAGGAATAAAGGTGGCCTCTGGATGCTGAAAAAAATCAAGTAATAGATTCTGCCACATAGCCCTCAGAAAGACTGCAGCCCTGCCCAAAACTTGATGTTAGCCCTGTGAGTTTCATTTAAGGCTTCTGAACTACAGAACTGTAGGATTAACGGTCACTTTATTGTAAGATATGAAGTTTGTGGTAATTGGTTACAGCAGCAAGAGGAAGTTTATACTGTAATTGTATCATGAAAATGAGAACCATAATTTACAACTGCTTTTAATACTGCACTTGGATGTTTGAAATCACATACATGGAAATGATCTCTATGTGCATGAGGGAGGATAGCAAATTGATGCCAAAATAATGCAAATGCAAATCTTACACTCATTTCTATGTAGGTTTCATTTAATCTTTGAAATTAAAATGAAATTAAAAGATTGTGATATTTTGATGAAATTAGACCGAAATGAACAATAGCAAAATAAGAACTTACTTATATTCTTTATATGGTCAATAAAGAAGTGATAGTGGAAAAAAAACAAGATCAAATGAAGGTGATGATTTAGGAAGTTGGAAAGATAGCTGAAACTACAAAATGGTATATAACCAGTGAACACTTAGACACACTGATTGATGAACTTCAGCTTTTGGCTTGGTGAGAGCATAAAATGAGAGCAGCTGAGGTTTGCAAATTTGTAATCTCCTTGTGGAAAAACAGGGGAAAACACATCTCAGCCTAATAAGATTTATCTACTAAAGAGTCTAGACTTGATCCATTTGTCCTTGTAATTCAAAAGCTAATTCAAATACTGATTTGATGTATTGTGTGAACAACCATTGCTGATTATCATCGCATACCTGGCATTCTCTTTTATCTGATATCTAAAATATTGGGTAATTCCTGGACTTTCTCTTTTCAAACCCAGTACGGATTAATTTGAGTCTTAGAACAGTTGTCTTTGAGAAATTCTTCCCTCTACTGCATCTGTGAATGGGCATAGCATGGTTACGTACATACTGTCACTCCATAGAACATTTGTTAAATTAAAGCCAAAGTTTAAAGCAAGAGCTTTAACTTACTGGTTTTACTAATGTTTTCCTCCCCAATAGCCACAACAATATTGATACCCTCACACCTTTTAACATAAAGCTTGGTGTTGTCTATTTTTCAGGTGCTGTCATCTATATGATCTCAGTATTTTAAAAATCAGCTTCCAGCCCATGTGGTGGTTCATGCTTGTAATACCAGCAGTTGAAGAGGCTTAAATGAGAGGATTCCTGGAGCCCAGGAGTTCAAAAGCAACCTGGGCAACCTAGCAAGACCCAGTCTCTATCAAAAGTTAAAAAAAAAAAGTGGGCATGGTGATGTGCACCTGTTGTCCTAGCTATTTTGGAGGCCAAGGTGGAAGGATCGCTTGAGCTTGGGAGGCTGAGGCTGCAGTGAGCAGTGATTGCACCACTGCATTCCAGCCTGGGCAACAAAGCAAGACCCTATCTCAAAAAATATATAATAAAAATGAAAATCAGTTCTCATTGATTTCTATGTAAATATGCACAGATGATGTCCATATAGACATAAATAATAATATTTCTGACAATGGGTCCATATGATCTTCAAAATCTAAAGTGCCTATCTGTGTAATTGACTGGTTAGTCTCATTAATGAATATAGATTCAATTCTACTTTCTTGTTCTAGATAAATTATATAATCTAGCTTTTCATTTCACTTATTTACTGATAACAACAGGAAGAATGACAAGGTATCTATTTTGGAAAATTACTCTGGTAGGAGTAAAGATGAAACAATGATAGAATTGCATGGAAAACTAGAAAAAAGTATGGTCTTCTGATATTCTATCACATCACATACTAAAGGCCTCATAAAACTCAGACATATTATCTAAAAATGTTATTTTCATCATAGGAATGATCAAAGCATGAGACTACAATTGTATTACATTGTGCTTGTATCACAATGTGCTTGTATCACAAGCACAGGTGCTAAAAAGGAGGGGAAAACATCATTACTGATATTTTCAACGTATGTTTTACCCTCCATCAACATGAACTTCAACTTTATATGATGCAGATTGAAGGAAATCACCCATAATTCCATAGAAAGAAGGCCTGTGATATTTTATGGGAAAATAAATAGAGAAAATGCTAACAGAAACCCTATTAAGCATGAAGCTTTATGGAGCAAACACAAATCCAGTGGTGAAAGATACACACTCGAGTTCTGTTTGTTGTCTTGGAACAATACGTTTTAGGGGCGACTGGCGGGTGAGGAGAACATACGCGAGTTCACCAAAAAGAAAAGCTGAATGAGGCAATGCCTCTTCCTGACCATATCTCTTACTCAGATAACGATATAATTTATTGTCCAGTAAAGGGTATATTGAAAAATCATATTAAAAGTCATGGAGTGAAGTTGTCCAGGGAAATCAAGACTTAACAGTCTCACTCTGACAACAATGAACAGGGGGGTTCCCTCGAGATAGACTAGGACATGACCCCACACTGGCAGGTAGTAGTACCAGAAAAGAACCCATGGAAAATCTTTACCTTATGCTAGAGGTAGGGACCAGGCTAAAGTGAAAGCCAGACATAAAATTCTATCTAAAATATATCCACAACTGAAGAAAATATGTGGTGTACAGGCATAGAATGTCTTTACTGGATCATTGAAATAGTAAGATAAATTCAACATTTTACATTGTTTTCTTTTACTGCAGTTAGGGCTTGAGGTTTGTCTCTGGAGAGTGACTGTCAATTGGAGCCCTGCCTTTCTGGGGTTCTGGTCAGGGGGTTGTGGATGCTTAACATGTGCCTTTCATAGGGCACTTCCTTGCCCCAGCAGTGGCCAGGTTCGCATCCCACGACCAGGCCTCCCTCTCACAGAACATCTGTTGAGACTAGGAGATGCCTGGTGACTGTTGCCTGACCTATGTCCTGTGTATTTCTGACAAGAGCCACTCTCAGAGACCCTGGCTAAGAGGAGAGTTAGGTTCCAGTGTAGGTCAGATCAGAGACATGGAGGCCACAGGAACAAACATGGGAAATCACAGAAGTAGGTTTATTACTCACAGATCCAGAGAGAAGAGGGTAGCTGAGAAGAGGGTTTAGCTGTGTCCCCAGCCAAATCTCATCTTGAATTCCCACATGTTGTGGGAGGGAACAGGTGGGAGGAAATTGAATCGTGGGGGCAGGTCTTTCCCATGCTGTTCTTCTGATAGTGAATAAGTCTCACAAGATCTGATGGTTTTACAAAGAGGAGTTTCCCTGCACAAGCTCTCTTTTCTTGTCTGCTGCCATGTGAGACGTGCCTTTCACCTTGCACCATGATTGTGAGGCCTACCCAGCTATGTGGAACTGTGCGTCTATTAAACCTCTTTCTTCTGGAAATTACCCAGTCTTGGGCATGTCTTTACTGGCGGTGTGAAAATGGACTAATACAGTAGCACACCTTACAAGGCTGAACAAAATGGGGAAGATGAGTGGGGAGCTGGAGAGAGAAAAGGGTCTGTGGGACTCCAGACTTCATTGGGCCCAGAACATTACCCAAATAAGTTTTCCACGGGGCACTAGTCGGTGGGGTGAGTGCCAGCAGGCACATTTCTTGACTCCCGCTGCAACCGAGCAGGTCGCTCTGGCGTGTGGGGGCTGTCCATGTGCGCTGTGAGGTCTGTGGGGTGAGTCAGGTAGGTTGTATCCAACGGTTCCATAGCTGGTAGTCACCAGGAGGAGGCAACTGTGTAGGGTCAATATCTGGGCCAGCCACACTGAGGAACTGTGAGGGTTAGAACTGGAAATTGTCAAGGGAATCTGAACCCAGCTACCATATGAGAGAGTTCAACTTATGTTCAATGTGAATGCCATGGCAATATTACAAGGTAAGAATTCGCTCCATACGTGCTTGAGGTAAATAGGAGAAACCTAGAATTTATGTAAACAGTGAGAAGATTGGATGCGTTTTCCGTCACATATTTTAATACTAGCAGCATATTATATATGTCAATCCATCAGGCATTCAGAAATACATGCTTATGAAAATTTTTTGCACCATCAGACAAAAGACAAGGGTAGAAGACATTTGTAACCCTATAAACACTAGTAAATTAAAAACAGAAAGACCTTTATGTCCTAACATATCTGTGTTGTGAAAGGCTGCCCTGTGAAATACGGGATTTCTTAAACATATTTTAAAAATCATAGGTGTCAATATTTTTTAGAAATCCATTTAAATTTTCTCTTGCTATTTTACAATGCCTATTTATTTATTTAGTGGCTCTGCTGATTTTGATGAATATCCTAAACTTTACATTTTCCTTAAAGGATGTTTTATACAACTTTATGTAAAATGTTTCAGTATCTTCACATTCTCTCCCTGTCCTTTTGTTTTGCTCTTATATGGTGGTTTTGAGTCTTTTTTCTGGCTTTTCAAACCTAGTAAGACTAAGACACTAAAGTAACTTTTCCCGTGGTTTGGTAATGCCTTCTAAAGCACATCCTAAGCTCTCGTGCATACAGCGGTCTCCTTTGAGCTCTGTGCTTTTGAGATCCCATATACCTAAATTCCAGTACTCCAAATCAGTACTGCTCAGTTTTAGTTGCTAAGTTTAAAAGTGTATTTTAAAAGCAAGTTAGTTTAGTGCACTCTTGCTTCTTTCTTGACTGCTTGTATATATGTATATTCCTTTAAATGAATCTTGGAATTTATTTAAAAATTTTAAATTATACTAATGAAACTGTATATTGTTGTGAATTCATAGGTGAATTTGGAAAGAATTTGTCTTTATGATACTAAATCCTTTTAATCCAAGAATCATATGTGCCTTTATATTTATTCCAGTCTATATTTATATCAGAGTAAATATATAGAAATGTAGATACATACAGCTGTAGTTACAGATACAAATATAGATATAACATGTTAAATCTATATCTATCCCATATAACATATATACATGTTATATGTGTGTGTGTATATATATATGTTTATGTTGTTAAAGAGCTCCCTTAAAATTTTTCTTTTCTTTCCTATATAATTTTAGGTCAAGCTTGAATTTTCCTTGTATAAACAAGCAAATATTTATACTAGTTTTAATACTGGTGTTTAGACATACTATCTTATTTTAGCATTGAATATTTTCACAATTATTATAAATATTATCTAATATTAATAATGTACCTGTTAAAAATAGTTAAAATTTTACCTTTGAATTATTTTATTGTTGAATTTAAATTCCTTTAATATGATAGTAAATTTCTATTTTATGCTTTCTCTATGCATATGCAAATTAATCTATCCACTTCTCTATCTCTATGTAGTAACACATGAAAATCAGGCCTCTCTTCTTGTAGTGGACATACACATATTTGCATATAGAATATCAGACTCTTTAGAGCATTTAAAATCTTTAAAGTCATGAATATTGCCTTTTAATAAATATATTTTAGCATGTACTGAGAATCCCCTATTTATTTTTAATTTGTGCTAATCAACATGATTATTAATATTATTGGATTACCAAATTTGGAAACACACTTTCATCTCCAAGGTGGATATTTGTTTTATTTTTTGCCAATTTCTTGTCTTACTCTTTCAAATATTGTTGGATATTATTTTTATTTTATTTGGCATTTTAGTATCAACATTGGTAATTGATGTACTCTACATATTTTTTCTTCGATATCTGGTGGGTTTTATAATTACTGCTATATTGGATTTGTAGTAGACATTGACAAAAATTATTCCTGTATGTTTTATAGCTGTATGAAGGAAACTAATATATTTTACCCCTAAATATATTTCCTTGATATATTTCAAAATGGCTATTGAGAAGGGCTGGAAATGCTAACATAGCTGCAAAGCTGTCTTGGGGAGATTTGCATTGGTAGAGAATCTGCCTTGATGCAGCCAGGCTTTCTCTGAGGTCTGCCCCCTTGTCTGGATCTAGGAAAGGTTAACTGAGAGTCTGAGGTCTCCAAAGGTCTGAAAGAAACATTTTCTGTCCATTCTCTCTGAGGACTGCTCCCAGTGAGGTTCCACCTATGTAATAAGTCCACTCTTGCTAGCCAGGGTCGTTTTCTCACATAACCTTTTTTTTTTTTTCCCTGTGATCCAAGACCCCATTCTTTCTGTAAACTTCATGTGGTAGATAAGCTTCTGCACGCATCGTGTGTCTGGGTCTTCGTTCTAAGGGCTCCAGTGTACACACATTGCAGAAACCTGTATGCCTTTTCTACTATGTATCTGCCTCCTATTAGTGATTTTCAGGGAAACTTCAGAAGGCAAAAGGGACATTCTCCTTTAGCCCATTCTCAGACAAAATCCCCCAACATTTAACTGATTCCTAATAGCTTAAAATCACTTTGAAAAATCCATATATTTATAACCTTTTCTTCCCTCTATGATTTCTGGTCAGCTTGGGTTTTGTTTTTCATTCCATTTACTTCATCCTCGAAAAGATCTATTTTACGTCTATTTATTCTCATTTATGGACATGGAGAAAAGAAAATAACTTTCATGTGAGAAATGCAAGTCCTTTTAAATAATCAGGCCCAGAGAGATATTCAAATGAGACGGCAGTTCTGTCCTGCTCCTCTTTGAGCTGTGTGTTCATCTAGGCTGCTTGCTGTTGCCACAGTAGCTATAAATTAACCAATAACGCCACACCAGACACTATAATCCACACCCAATAATAGTGTAACAGTGTATAACCAGTCACTAATAAATGTTATTTCCATAAGCCAATGAGAATTTGTGACAAACCTCTTTGGATCATCCCACTTCTGGACCCTTTTTTGCCTTTAAGAAACTGCTTGTTGCAAAGCTCCAAAGGGAGTTCATATCCAAGGATACTTGGGTCTGTTTCTTCCAGGCAGCTGTCCTCATCGTGGCTCAAGTAAACTCTTTGAATTACGTTGTGTGCTTCAGCCCCTTCCACTTAGATTAACAACATGGATTTGTGTCACCATGTACAGCAATTAAAGTGTTTACACTTTTCCCCTCGAGGGCACTGATGTGTTTTCCTGAGCACTTGGAATAGCTACGTAGTGTTTACTGTCTAGATTATGGTTTCTCAACCTTGGTGCTACTTACCTTTAGGACCAGAGGATTCTTTGTTGTGGGAGGCTTCCCTAGCAATGCTAGGTGTTTGGTTTGACCTCTACATTTCACACCTCCACCAGTCTTGACATCCCCACAATAACCCTAGACATTGACAAATGTCTCCTGGGGAAAACTCTCCGCAAGTTGACAGTCAAAGTTCTGGAAATATTGGAACTGTCAATTGAGATTTTATGTTATCCAAAACAAATATTTTTCTTTGTTTTTAAACATCTACTTCCATCTACTTATCTACTTATTTTTACTTTTATTTGTAACTTAATTCCATGAAGGAGAGAGAGTGCATTTTCTGTTATGCTAAATTTTTGAAGAATGTATTGATTTTTTCTGACCTGATATATGGATGATATGTAGATAGTACATGTTTGTATTATCAAATTTCAGGACGATAATAAAATAAATACTTATAATATTTATATTGTCACTGTATATTAGTTATTTTCTTTCTTCACTACAGGAGTTTTTCAACCTATAGGCTATTTTTCAATTCTAGGTTATCCAGTAGATTTTGAAATGTTATGATTAATTATCTACTTCTCAAGCATTCATCTTTGCAAATGAAACAATCCCAAGCTCTTATAATGCACATCATATAAAGGGCAGATTAGTCAATATATGGTTCAGAAATAATTATGTAATATTTATAAGAAAATTACAAATTTAGATCCTTAACTCAGATAACAATAATCCAAATTAAAATTTGATTTCATTACATAATGTAAAATGACACCAGAATACTAGTAAAAATGTAGATAAGTTTATATAATCTTTTTCAGCTGTAGGACTTCATTAGCATAAATTCAAATACAGGAATCAAAGTAAGATTGAGACCTATTGTCAAAGGTTAAAATGTACACATTATAGGGGCATGATTAAACTAATTTAAAGCATAATATCATGGAGAAATATTGCAAAACATACATTTTACTGAATTAATTGTTAATATCTAATCATTATGTGAGAACAAAATTAAAGAGTAGCTACACACCCACACACCGACACACAAGTGCAATATTGTCAAATAAAAGATGTGCAGCTACACTAGAAATCACACCTGTGTTTTCTTCACAGAAGAGTAAAGATTAAAAATCACAATAATATTTATTGTACATATGGAGGTAAAGATACTCAAAATATTACCCTAAAATACATTTTTTTTGAGATGGAGTTTTGCTTTTATTGCCCAGGCTGAAGTGCAATGGCACAATCTTGGCTCACTGCAACCTCAGCCTCCCAGGGTCAAGTAATTCTCCTAGCTCAGCCTCCCAAGTAGCTGAGATTACAGGCATGCACCACCACACTTGGCTAATTTTTTGTATTTAGTAGAGACGGGGTTTCCCCATGTTGGTCAGGCTGGTCTCCAACTCCTGACTTCAGGTGATCTACCCACTTCAGTCTCCCAAAATGCTGGGACTACAGGTGTTCGCCTGGGCAGCTTTTTGACGTATTTCAAGATGGCTGCTCGGAAGACTGGAGGTAGAGAAAATCTGCATTGATATAGACAGGCTTTCCCTGAGATACTCCCTTGTCTGGGTTTAGGAAAGATTAACTGAGCCTGGCACGTTTATATTTCTAAAAACCATTTCCAAAAACCATTTCCTATCTATACTTCCCAAGGGAGGGCTTCTCCCTGTGAGGTTTCATCCATGTAACAAGACCACCTCTGCTGCCAGACTCCTCTTTCTTCCTTGTCGTCACCTGTCTTCCGCAAAGCCTGATTTACCAACCTACAGCTCTGTGTTTTCTGTAACCTCAAGACAGCATAGGCCTGTTGACTACCTTGCCTTTCCTGGAGTTTTTATATATATAGTATATATTTGTATATCTATTTATAATATACAAATATTTGTATAGATATATTTATATATATTATGTAAACTCCAAGTGCATACTTGTGCACATATCTGTAAACCTTTTTTTCCTGTTAATTTGTACATTATCAGTTTGTTTTATAGACTCAAATAATTAAAGCTTCAAGGGAAAAATTTAAAATTTCCTATAGAGAAAAGACAAATATGTAGGTGACAAATAATATTTAGAGTGTAAGACTCTTTTTAAAGGTATATTTGCAATTTGTGTCAAAACATTTAAATATACATTTGTTATTTTAACTATAAAATTTCAAATAATTTAAGCCAAATACATAGTATATGCAGAAAATTTAGCAATATATCTATGTAGCACCTCACTGTGCATTACTGTAACCAGCCATCTAATATAAAGAATTAATTAAGGTAGCACCTACTTTTCAAATAGCGCATTTTTTCACAGACCTATTAAATGAGACAAATAACATTTAGACTTTACTTTTAAATGTGCAGAATAGTAGTTTTCAGCAGATGGTTTATTTTAGCAAATTCCATCTTCACATTGTGCTATGCTTTTATGAGTTCCAGCTGTTAACGGATACTATTTTACTGCTGAAACTATCATGTGTGATGTAATTGCTCATCATGTGCCTTAAAACACAAGGAATATAATTATTTTCAACTTGGAGCAAATTAAAATCTTATCAACAATTTAAAAACTCTAGAGTCGTCTTCTTCTGGTTAATTGTTTTAAACTTGTATTTTTCTCTTTATGTTTTTAGTGAGTTGTCTTATCAAGGAGAAGAACTCAAGCTGCTTATTCTTTTTTTTCTCTTCCATCCACCTCGCAGGTGTGTTAATAATTTCATTTCTCAGAAAATGTTCTTTCATATCCATCTTACAAGATGAGAGACCTTTTAACATCTTCCATTCGGATGTGATACCAGTAATGGAAAATATTCCAGCTTCATGAATATGGTGATACAAATAGTTATCCGTCTAACCTCTTTCAGTGCCAAATGTTTACTTAACTCAGTGAATTACTCAGTTGACTGGTAATTTCTTCTGAAATTGCTAATGAGAGGATCAGAGGTCTGGCTGTTGTCTGTACCTCATATGACTCCCAGTGCAGACAATTGTTTCTATGGAGCACAGACAGTTGAAAGGACTGACTTCCTGCCTGGAATAGTTTCTGCTGTGCTTCTTATCCTTCTTGTGGAGATTTCAGATTATCTGAATTGCTTTTCTAACTTAAGAAAAAACGCAACAATTCTCCCACATGAGAGGAATGTAAACTGTAGTAAGTTAGCAGAACCAATCCGTAAAGTTTTTACATTGTTTGTTGCAAAATGCAGCGCTGGTGTCTCCATCACTAACCTTTTCTATCCCTCAATGCTCTTTCTTTGACTGCAACAGGATACCTCTAGGCAAATCTGTATTCCCGAGACAGAGTGCCCTTTTGGTGAGCTATAAGCACACTCAATGGTAGGCTGAAATACTAGCTTTTATCTATGGCGAAATGGAATCATATCGGTGATTTTTTTTAAAAGGAAATTTAACTCTTGCTATGGTTTGAATGCTTGCCCCTTCCAATCTCAGGTTAAAATTTGATCCCCAATATTGCAGGTGGGGCTTACTGGGAGGTGTTTGGTCATGGGGTTCGACCTTCATGAATGGATAATACCCTCCCTTAGGAATCTAAAGCTATCCTCCCTCCTCGGTGCCCTCAGGAATGAGTGTACCATTCTTTATTCACCTGTAATTCCCCCACCCATCCTTTTTGAGATATTAATTACATGTATGTTACACTGCTGCATATTGTCTGACGTATCAGTGAGTTTCTGGCTTTCTTATTTTAGTTTACCCTTTGTCCTTTAGTTTGTAAAGCTTCTATTTTGTTCTATAAATTTTCTGATGTTAGGGTAAAATCCATTACTTATTCTATCTCATGGAATTTTTATTTAAAATATTTATTTTTCATCTATACATGTCATATTTTTCATTTTATAACTTCTATTTTTCTCCTATGTTCAATTTTCATTTAAGTACCTTGACATATATATGTATTTATCTATATGTATTTATAAAATATATTTACTTTAAGGACCTTGAAATTTCCTTCTTTTCTGTCATTTATAAATGACTTATTTTTATCCTGTTAATATATATCTTAATTATATATATCTTACGGCTTCTTTGCATGTCAGAGTTTTTTTTGGGGGGGGGTATTTTGGTGTTATGCTATTGAATATCTAGATTTGATTGGCTACCTTTGAACAATGTTGTGGCAGGCAGTTCAGTAACTTCAGGATGAGTATTTTTCTGTTGTTGCTTTAAATCTCCTCTTTAAAATTTGTTGAGTTAGTCTAGAGCCATCTGTAATTTGGAGCTAAATGAGCACTGTCACTAGGGCATGAACCTCCAGTGGTCTTTACTGAATATCCTGGAGGTACAGAGGGGATTCCCATCTCTGGCTGGTCACAACTAACGTGTCTTCCTGTCATGTGATGCCAGGGAAGTGTTCTTCTTCCAACTCCCTGGTAGAGTCTTTTGCTGAGCTCCTTAGAATTTCATCCTATGTACATTTGGCTTAGGGACTTGGGAGAATCCTTAGGCTGATTCTTGGTTCCTTTTTCTGTAAACGTTCTCTTCTACTACACATTCCAGCTACTTAACCTTTTTTGATTTTTATCTGGTTCCTCAGTGCAATGACAATGTCTGCTGTCTCTGGGATTCTTCTCTACTGCTGTCACGGAGAATCTGGGAATAATGCAGGACTCATTCTGGCTCCTTCTCTTCTCTTGCAGAGCACAGTCCTGCGCTGCCGATGTTCAGTACTTCAAAAAAATGTTTCATATATTTTGTCCTGTTTACTATTCTTTAACTCGAAAAGAGTAACTCCAGTCCAAGTTACAGCATCATGTTCTGTAACTCTACTCCTTGTTGCTTCATTCTGCCATTGTCTGGTATGATCTCCCCTTTCCCTTCTGTAATCAGGCCAAGAGCATAATATAATACTAGTTAAAACTGCACAGCTTGCCTCCGTTGTGTAAAAAAATCACTGAGACTTAACTGTGTCCAACTTTTAAAATGTGAATATAAGTACAACTAAAGCTATATTTTGGTTAATATTTGCATTGCATGCTTTTCCATTATTTACTTTCAACATATGTGAAATATGAATATAAATTATAAAAACTTTAAGAGAGTCCATTTAAAAAATCTGGTCTGGTTATATTTTACCTGGTTTAATACAACGTGTATTCTTGGATTCAGGGTCTAATGTAATTGGTCCATTTGTCTATTTGCAAAAAAAAAAAAAAAAAAAAAAAAAACTTGACAATATTTTAAAATTAATTTATCCAACTCACAACTTATATGCTTCTGCCATTGTACGGAAGATATATTTTAAACTTTATGAGATAGCATTCTGTTATACAGTCGATATCCAATTAAATTTCTCTCTATGTTTATTTCTTTCATTAAAAAAATTGTTCTTCTAAATGCAAATTTTCATCAGGGATCATGGCTCTTCTACCTGAAGAATAATGTTTAGTATTTCTTTTCCTGTGTGTCTGCTTGGGAGAAATTCTTTATTGTATCTTTGTTTTGATGGATATGTCCACCAAGTAGACAGTTCTAGGTCAGCACTTATTTTATTTCAGGACTTGAAAGATATCAGTACCTCACTTGTTGGCTTTCGTTGTTTCATTTGAGAAAGTTGTTATCAGTCAACTCTTTCTCTTTGTAGTTAGTCCAATTTTTTTTTTTTATCAAGTGCTCTTTACATTTTTCTTTTACTTTTCAGAAATTGCCCCATTATGTTTCTAGATGTGTCCTCTGTGTGTGTTTTCCTTTGCTTTGAAAAGTCTCCTGAACCTGAGGTTTAATATTATTGGTCAATTTTGATAAAACCTCTAACATTGCCACTTAAAATGCTGTTCAGACAAGCTGTTTTCTCCTTCTTAGATTTCAACGTGTTAGATTATTACTCTATCCTTCATATTTTTTAAATGACCTTTCTCTACTATTTTTTTAAGTTGGTTAATGTGTATTAGTGTATATTTTGTTTTTTTATTTTATTTTATTTTATTATTATACCTTAAGTTTTAGGATACATGTGCACAATGTGCAGGTTTTTAACATAAGGGTTCATGTGCCATGTTGCTGTGCTGCACCCATTAACTCGTCATTTAGCATTAGGTATATCTCCTAATGCTATCCCTCCCCACTCCCCCCACCCCACAACAGTCCCCGAAGTGTGATGTACCCCTTCCTGTGTCCGTGTGTTCTCATTGTTCAATACCCACCTATGAATGAGAACATGTGGTGTTTGGTTTTTTCTCCTTGCGAGAGTTTACTGAGAATGATGATTTCCAGTTTCATCCATGTCCCTACATAGGACATGAACTCATCATTTTTTATGGCTGCATAGTACTCCATGGTGTATATGTGCCACATTTTCTTAATCCAGTCTATCGTTGTTGGACATTTGGGATGGTTCCAAGTCTTTGCTATTCTGAATACTGCCGCAATAAACATATGTGTGCATGTGTCTTTATTGCAGCATGATTCATAGTCCTTTGTGTATATACCCAGTAATGGAATGGCTGGGTCACATGGTATTTCTAGTTCTAGATACTTGAGGAATCGCCACACTGACTTCCACAATGTTTGAATTAGTTTACAGTCCCACCAACAGTGTAAAATTGTTCCTATTTCTCCACATGCTCTCCAGCACCTGCCGTTTCCTGACTTTTTAATGATCGCCATTCTAACTGGTGTGAGATGGTATCTCATTGTGGTTTTGATTTGCATTTCTCTGATGGCCAGTGATTATGAGCATTTTTTCATGTGTTTTTTGGATGCATAAATGTCTTCTTTTGAGAAGTGTCTGCTCGTGTTCTTCACCCACTTTTTGATGGGGTTGTTTGTTTTTTACTTGTAAATTTGTTTGAGTTCATTGTGGATTCTGGTTATTAGCCCTTTGTCAGATGAGTAAGTTGCAAAAATTTTCTCCCATTTTGTAGGTTGCCTGTTCACTCTGATGGTAATTTCTTTTACTGTGCAGAAGCTCTTTAGTTTAATTAGATCCCATTTGTCAATTTTGGCTTTTGTTCCCATTGCTTTTGGTGTTTTAGACATGAAGTCCTTGCTCACGCCTATGTCCTGAACGGTATTGCCTAGGTTGTCTTCTAGGGTTTTTATGGTTTTAGGTCTAACATGTAAGTCTTTGATCCAACTTGAATTAATTTTTGCATAAGGTGTAAGGAAGGGATCCAGTTTCAGCTTTCTACATATGGCTAGCCAGTTTTCCCAGCACCATTTATTAAATAGGGAATCCTTTCCCCATTTCTTGTTTTTCTCAGGTTTGTCAAAGATCAGACAGTTGTAGTTATGCGGCATTATTTCTGAGGGCTCCGTTCTGTTCCATTGATCTATGTCTGTGTTTTTGTACCAGTAACATGCTGTTTTGGTTACTGTAGCCTTGTAGTATAGTTTGAAATCGGGTAGCGTGATGCTTTGTTCCTTTGGCTTAGGATTGACTTGGCAATGTGGGCTCTTTTTTGGTTCCACATGTACTTTAAAGACGTTTTTTCAAATTCTGTGAAGAAAGTCATTGGTAGGTTGATGGGTATGGCATTGAATCTATAAATTACCTTGGGCAGTATGGCCATTTTCACGATATTGATTCTTCCAACCCATGAGCATGGAATGTTCTTCCATTTGTTTGTATCCTCTTTTATTTCATTGAGCAGTGGTTTGTAGTTCTCCTTGGAGACGTCCGTCATGTCCCTTGTAAGTTGGGTTCCTAGGTATTTTATTCTCTTTGGAGCAATTGTGAATGGGAGTTCCCTCATGATTGGGCACTCTGTTTGTCTGTTATTGATGTACAAGAATGCTTGTAATTTTTGTACATTGATTTTGTATCCTGAGACTTTGCTGGAGTTGCTTATCAGCTTAAGGAGGTTTTGCGCCGAGACAATGGGGTATTCTAGATATACAATCATGTCATCTGCAAACAGGGACAATTTTACTTCCTCTTCTCCTAATTGAATACCCTTTGTTTCCTTCTCCTGCCTGATTGCCCTGGCCAGAACTTCCAACACTATGTTGAATAGGAGCGGTGACAGAGGATATCCCTGTCGTGTGCCAGTTTTCAAAAGGAATGCTTCCAGTTTTTGCCCATTCAGTATGATATTGGCTGTGGGTGTGTCATAGATAGCTCTTATTATTTTGAGATACTTCCCATCAATACCTAATTTATTGAGAATTCTTAGCATGAAGGGCTGTTGAATTTTGTCAAAGGCCTTTTCTTCTTCTATTGAGATAATCATGTGGTTTTTGTCTTTGGTTAGGTTTATATGCTGGATTACGTTTATTGATTTGCATATGTGGAACCAGCCTTGCATCCCAGGGATGAAGCCCACTTGATCATGGTGGATAAGCTTTTTGATGTGCTGCTGGATTCGGTTTGCAGGATTTTATTGACGATTTTTGCATCAATGTTCATGAAGGATATTGGTCTAAAATTCTCTTTTTTGGTTGTGTCTCTGCCCGGCTTTGGTATCAGGATGATGCTGGCCTCATAAAATTAGTTAGAGAGGAATCCCTCTTTTTCTATTGACTGGAATAGTTTCAGAAGGAATGGTACCAGTTCCTCCTTGTACCTCTGGTAGAATTCGGCTGTGAATCCATCTGGTCCTGGACTCTTTTTGGTTGGTAACCTATTGATTATTGCCACAATTTCAGAGCCTGTTATTGGTCTATTCAGAGATTCAACTTCTTCCTTGTTTAGTCTTGGGAGACTGTATGTGTCAAGGAATTTATCCATTTCTTCTAGATTTTCTAGTTTATTTGCATAGAGGTGTTTGTAGTTGTCTGTGATTGTAGATTGTATTTCTGTGGGATCGGTGGTGATAACCCCTTTATCATTTTTTGTTGCATCTATTTGATTCTTCTCTCTTTTCTTCTTTATTAGTCTTCCTAGTGGTCTATCAATTTTGTTGATCTTTTCAAAAAAACAGCTCCTGGATTCATTAATTTTTTGAAGGGTTTTTTGTGTCTCTATTTCCTTCAGTTCTGCCCTGATTTTAGTTATTTCTTGCCTTCTGCTAGCTTTTGAATGTGTTTGCTCTTGCTTTTCAAGTTCTTTTAATTGTGATGTTAGAGTGTCAATTTTGGATCTTTCCTGCTTTCTCTTGTGGGCATTTAGTGCTATAACTTTCCCTCTACACACTGCTTTGAGTGTGTCCCAGAGATTCTGGTATGTTTTGTCTTTGTTCTCGTTGGTTTCAAAGAACATCTTTATTTCTGCCTTCATTTTGTTATGTACCCAGTGGTCATTCCGGAGCAGGTTGTTCATTTTCCATATAGTTGAGCGGTTTTGAGTGAGTTTCTTGATCCTGAGTTCTAGTTTGATTGCACTGTGGTGTCAGAGACAGTTTGTTATAATTTCTGTTCTTTTACATTTGCTGAGGAGAGCTTTACTTCCAACTATGTGATCAAGTTCGGAATGGGTGTGGTGTGGTGCTGAAAAAAATGTATATTCTGTTGATTTGGGGTGGAGAGTTCCATAGATGTCTATTAGGTGCGCTTGGTGCAGAGCTGAGTTCAATTCCTGGGTGTCCTTGCTAACTTTCTGCCTCGTTGATCTGTCTAATGTTGACAGTGGCGTGATAAAATCTCCCCTTATGATTGTGGGGGAGTCTAAGTCTCTTTGTAGGTCACTCAGGACTTGCTTTATGAATCTGGGTGCTCCTGTTTTGGGTGCATATATATTTAGGATAGTTAGCTCTTCTTGTTGAATTGATCCCTTTACCATTATGTAATGGCCTTCTTTGTCTCTTTTGATCTTTTTTGGTTTAAAGTCTGCTTTATCAGAGACTAGGATTGCAACCCCTGCCTTTTTTTGTTTTCCATTTGCTTGGTAGATCTTCCTCCATTGCTTTATTTTGAGTCTATGTGTGTCTCTGCATGTGAGATGGGTTTCCTGAATACAGCACACTGATGGGTCTTGTCTTCTTATCCAATTTGCCAGTCTGTGTCTTTTAATTGGAGCATTTAGCCCATTTACATTTAAAATTAATATTGTTATGTGTGAATTTGATCCTGTCATTATGATGTTAGCTGGTTATTTTGCTCGTTAGTTGATGCAGTTTCTTCCTAGTCTTGATGGTCTTTACAATTTGGCATGTTTTCGCAGTGGCTGGTACCAGTTGTTCCTTTCCATGTTTAGTGCTTCCTTCAGGAGCTCTTTTAGGGCAGGCCTGGTGGTGATAAAATTTCTGAGCATTTGCTTGTCTGTAAAGGATTTTATTTCTCCTTCACTTATGAAGCTTAGTTTGGCTGGATATGAAATTCTGGGTTGAAAATTACTTTCTTTAAGAATGTTGAATATTGGCCCCCACTCTCTTCTGGCTTGAAGAGTTTCTGCTGAGAGATCAGCTGTTAGTCTGATGGGCTTCCCTTTGTGGGTAACCGGACCTTTCTCTCTGGCTGCCCTTAACATTTTTTCCTTCATTTCATCTTTGGTGAATTTGACAATTATGTGTCTTGGAGTTCCTCTTCTTAAGGAGTATCCTTGTGGCGTTCTCTGTGTTTCCTGAATCTGAATGTTGGCCTGCCTTACTAGATTGGGGAAGTCCTCCTGGATAATATCTTGCAGAGTGTTTTCCAACTTAGTTCCATTCTCCCCGTCACTTTCAGCTACACCAATCAGACGTAGGTTTGGTCTTTTCACATAGTCCCATAATTCCTGGAGGCTTTGTTCATTTCTTCTTATTCTTTTTTCTCTAAACTTCCCTTCTCCCTTCATTTCATTCATTTCATCTTCCATCACTGATACCTTTTCTTCCAGTTGATTGCATTGGCTCCTGAGGCTTCTGCCTTCTTCACGTAGTTCTCGAAACTTGGCTTTCAGCTCCATCAGATCCTTTAAGCATTTGTCTGCATTGGTTATTCCAGTTATACACTCGTCTAATTGTTTTTCAAAGTTTTTAACTTCTTTGCTATTGGTTTGAATTTCCTCCTGTAGCTCACAGTAGTTTGATCATCTGAAGCCTTCTTCTCTCAAATCATCAAAGTTATTCTCTGTCCAGTTTTGTTGCTGGTGAGGAACTGCGTTCCTTTGGAGAAGGAGAGGCACTCTGCTTTTTAGAGTTTCCAGTTTTTCTGTTTTCTCCCTATCTTTGTGGTTTTATCAACTTTTGGTCTTTGATGATGGTGATGTACAGATGGGTTTTTGGTGTGGGTGTCCTTTCTGTTTGTCAGTTTTCCTTCTAACAGACACGACCCTCAGCTGCAGGTCTGTTGGAGTTTTCTAGAGGTCCACGCCAGATCCTGTTTGCCTGGGTATCAGCAGCGGTGGCTGCAGAACAGCGGATTTTCGTGAATCACAAATTCAGCTATCTGATCATTCCTCTGGAAGTTTGGTCTCAGAGGACTACCCGGCCGAGTGAGGTGTCAGTCTGTCCCTACTGGAGGGTGCCTCCCAGTTGGGCTGCTTGGGGTTCAGTGACCCACTTTAGGAGGCAGTCTGCCCATTCTCAGATCTCCAGTTGCGTGCTGGGAGAACCACTACTCTCTTCAAAGTTGTCAGACAGGGACATTTAAGTCTGCAGAGGTTACTGCTGACTTTTTGTGTGTCTGTGCCCTGCCCCCAGAGGTGGAGCCTACAGAGGCAGGCAGGCCTCCTGGAGCTGTTGTGGGCTCCACCCAGTTCCAGCTGCCTGGCTGCTTTGTTTACCTAAGAAAGCCTGGGCAATGGCGGGTCCCACTCCACCAGCCTCGCTGCTGCCTTGCAGTTTGATCTCAGAGTGCTGTGCTAGCAATCAGCAAGACTCCATTGGCATAAGACCCTCTGAGCCAGGTGCGGGACACAATCTCCTGGTGTGCTGTTTTCCAAGCCTGTTGGAAAAGTACAGTATTAGGTTGAGAGTGACCCTATTTTCCAGGTGCAGTCTGTCACCCCTTTCTTTGACTAGGAAAGGGAACTCCCTGACCCCTTGTGCTTTCTGAGTGAGGCAATGCCTCTCCCTGCTTCGGCTCCCACATGGTGCACTGCATCCACTGTCCTGCACCCACTGTTTGGCACTCCCTTAGTGAGATGAACCCGGTACCTCAGATGGAAATGCAGAAATCACCCGTCTTCTGCGTCGCTCACGCTGGGAGCTGTAGACCAGAGCTGTTCCTATTCAGCCATCTTGGCTCCACCCCTCATTTCATTATTTCATCATTTCACTTCATTTTGTCATTTCATTTCATCATTTCATACCATTTCTTCATTTCATCATTTCATCTTTTCATTTCATTTCATCATTTCATTTCATTTCACCATTTCACTTCATCATTTCATTTCAGCATTTCATTTCATTTCCTCATTTCATTTCACCATTTCATCATTTCATTTCATCATTCCATTTCATCATTCCATTTCATCATTTCATCTTTTCATTTCATTTCATCATTTCATTTCATTTCATTTCACCATTTCACTTCATCATTTCATTTCAGCATTTCATTTCATTTCCTCATTTCATTTCACCATTTCATCATTTCATTTCATCATTCCATTTCATCATTTCATCATTTCATTTCATTTCAGCATTTCATTTCATTTCACCATTTCATCTCATCTCATCATTTCATTTCATTTCATCATTTTGTCATTTCATTTCATTTCTTCATTTCATCATTTCGTTTCATCATTTCATCATTTCATTTCATTTCATGTCATCATTTTCATCATTTCATTTCATTTCATTTCGGTGATACATGTATTTAAGTGCTAATGTGATGCCCAGGAGACACCCTATTTCCCTTTGTAAAACACCTCCTTCAACAGAAGTCAACCTCTCATGGCTGGCTAAGTCTACAGGTATACCAGCCTCTCTTCAACCACCCAATTTGATTCAGAACCTCAAACAGCACCTCAGTTTCATAAAAACCTAAAACATAAACACAACACTTGGTTGTAAGTGAGCCAACAGTTTCTTGTCTCTTTCTCTGCTCAAGGCTTAAGGCCGTGTCTACCCAACTATGTTCAGTGGAAGAAAAGATCCCCTGGACAAATAAGTTTGAGAACTGTTTTTGCAGGACTTCTCAGAACCTTTAAAACACAAATCGTCATCCGCAGGGATCTTCAGGAGGGAGATGGCTGATGCAGCACAAATTTCTTTCACAGGAGTATCTTGCAGAATACAGTATGAGACACACAAAGGCTGCATTGAGTCTTTTTAAGGGCCTGGGCCTTTGTGGCATTGGGGTAGGAGCTCTCCAGATAGCATCTAATGAGTAGAAACATTCAGGTTGCGTTTTTTTTCCTTACTGGCAAAACTGTGTGTGCATCATGAATGAAGCCGGTCTCCCTTATCCATATCAAAACTAAACCCCAATTAATTGGCTAAATTGGGACTCAACACCTCCAGGAGCCATGCGGAAGAAAGCCCCACCACACTTTAAAGTAGCTTACCTCATATTTGATGAAAGCAAAACGCTTATGACCAGTGTGCTGCTAATACAAGTCAACAGATAATGCTGTATGAAAAATTATTTTTCCCAATCATAGCTAGCATAGTCCACATTTTGCATTATACTTTCCCCCCCTTTTTTTTAAATTTTAAACACTGGTCCTTTTCTTTCCTTTTTTTAAATATTAATTTAATTATACAAGACAGAGTCTCAGTATGTTGCCAAGGCTGGTCTTCAACTCCTGAGCTCAAGCGATACATCCGTCTCTGCCTCCCAAAGTGCTGAGATTACAGGCCTGAGACACTGTGCCTGGCCTTAAACACAAATCTTAATTCATTCTTACAATTATCCTGAGGTTAGAAAAATGGAAGGGGAAGAAAAATGGCAAGCAGGTAGGCTGACTTCGGCTTCATTATTTGGAAGGACAGTTTGCTCCATTAAAACACACTGCTGCCCACAAAAGCCAAGACAACAGAAACATACAGACATATAAATAGATTTTATATGTGACAGCGGTTTGAATGGAAACTTTTTCAATACAAATGACAAACAGCTGTCCTTGGGAATAAATGACAACGAATTTTTTTATCTCAACACCTGTCCTGAGAGCACGTCTCTACACCTCTACCTGCATTCTGGAGTCAGGGAGAAAGTCAAAACGGACGACAAGACACTAGATCAGCTGTGTCCAACCCTTTGACTACAAGGACTTTTCAGCCTATCTGTGGTGGTGGGTATCATGAAAATTATGCACAAACCTTTTTTTCTTTAAGCTCCTCAGCTATCATTAGCAGTAGTGTATTTTATCTGTGGCCCAGGAGCATTCTTCTTCCAATGTGGCCCTGAGAAGCCAAAAGACTGGACACCTGTGCACTAGATCAAAAGGCTACTCCTTCTGGAAGCAATTGTAAAGAATTTCTGACATTATCTTGACATGAAAACCAATCGATAGTGAGACAGAATGTAAAATCTTCAAGAATTTTTCTTGTTGGTTTTTCTTTTTTGAGTCAAGGTGTTGCTGTGTGGCCCAGGCTGGAATACACTGGTGAGATCACAGCTCAGTGCAGGCTCAAGTGCTCCTCCCTCCTCAGCCACAGTAGTAGGTAGGACTACAGATGTGCACAACCACCCCTGGCTACTATTTTTTTTTTTTTTTTTGTAGAGACGGGGTCTCACTATGTTGTCCAGATTGGTCTCAAACTCCTTGACTCAAGTGATCCAGGACAGGATAACAGGCGTGAGCCACCACACCTGGCCATGTGCATGAACTTTTAAGACAAACACAAGGCCCCACAAAAGTTAAGGTTTTCCCACCTAATTTCCAGGAGATCTTTTGGTGCAAGGATGAGAAACCCTTAAAAGTACACAGAAAACTCCAAAGATTCAAGAGAGTTCATTCGGGCTGAGCCAGCCCACTGGGCAGACTGACCTTCAAACAAGGCCCACCCATGACATACACCAGATGGCTCTCCAAGAATCTCTCTAGTTCTCAGGGTCCCTAAGGTACTGGACAGAGCTAGGGAGGCAAACCCATTTGCTTCTTCCTGCAGGAAACCCCTTGAGGTCAAGACCCCACAATCAGACGAGGATGGAGTGGCTCACCCTCAGTCAACAGGCCAGACTCAAGGTGTTATAATGTCTTAACCAAGGGTGCGGGCCTCCAGGTCTGACTCCCAACTCAGTGCTCCTTTAATAACCACTCTTTGTTAATTCTCCTTAACAGGGGTTCCTGGCAAGTCATTTCTCCCTCAGGCCTTCGGTTTCCTCACCTACAAGATGAGAGGGCTGGACCAGATGGCAATTCAGGGGGTAAGGGGATGTCCGCGTGCAGCCCACCCCGCCCATGGGCCCCTTGAGCATCCATCACAGTTCCCAACACGCAACCGCTCCACAAATCCTGCCCAAGGTGAGGGCTGGTCCCAGGTCCTCCGGCTGCCGCATCAGCGAGTGCAGGAGGGAGGAGAAGCCTCCAAAGGGGCGACGTGGGCTCAAGGATGCAACTCGGCCAGGAGTGAACTGGGGCCCAGATGGAGGTGTCCAGTCTGGTGCTGGAGCCCAGCCCTGGTCCCTGACCCCCTTACCTCCAGGGTCCGTATCTCCTGCTGGGTGAGGTCCTTGGACACAGCGCACTTGGTGCGCAGCCCGCGCAGGCTGCCAACGGAGATGCCGATGAGCTTCTGGAGCTGCCCGCACTGCTGCAGCGCCCGGCTGGCCGCGGCCCCTGTGCCTCCCTACGCGATAGCCGCGTCACCCCCGCCACTGCCCTCCTTCTTCTCTCCCATTGCAGCCGAGCGCAGCGCCGCTCTATGCGGGCTGCAGCAGCCCAGGAGCGGAGCCCTGGGCGCCGGCGTCTAGGCAAGGAACCCCTGATTCGGGAGAGCTGGACCAGGAGCGCCCCTTGGCGCTGCCTTAGTCAGGACGCCGGTAGAGCTGGCAGCCAAGTCTGCGGATCCAGCCCTCAGACCCGCGGCGGTGGGGGCAAAAAACTGCAGCGGTGGGCGCAAAAAGCCGGGGCGGTGGGGGAAAAGGCCAGGGCGACGGGGGCAACAAGCCATGGCGGCGGGGTCAAAAAGCCGCGGTGGCGGAGGCAAAAAGCTGTGGTGGCGGAGGCAAAAAGCTACGGTGATGGGCACAAAAAGCCGTAAAAAGCCGCAGCATTGGGGGCAAAAAGCCGCGACGGCGGGGGCAAAAAGCCGCGGCGGCAAAAAGATGCGGCGGCGGGGGCAGAAAGCGGCTGCGGGGGGAGGGGGGCAAAAAGCAGGGGCGGCAAAAAGCCGCGGCGGGAAAAATCTGCGGCGGCGGGGGAAAAAAGCCGCGGCGGCGGGCACCAAAAGCCCCAAAAAGCGGCGGCGACGGGTGCCAAAAGCCGCAAAAAACCACGGCTGAGGGGGCAAAAAGCCACGGCGGCAAAAAGCCACGACAGCGGGGATATAAAGCCGCAAAAACCCTCGTCGGCAGGGGCAGAAAGCCGCAGCGGCGGGGGTAAAAAGCAACGGGGGCGGGGGCAAAAACCCGCGGCGGCGGGGGCAAAAAGCGGCGGGGGTGATAAAAACCCGCGGCGGCGGGGGCAGGAAGCCGCATACGGGGCAAAACTCCGCGGTGGCAGGTGCAAATAGCCGCAAATAGCCGCGGCGGTGGGGGCAAAAAGCCCGGGCGGTGGGGGCAAGAAGCCGGGGCAGGAGAAACCTGCGGCGACAGGGGAAAAAAGTCGCGGCGGCGGGGGCCAAAAGCCGCGGCGGCAAAAAGCCGCAAAAAGCCGGGGCGGCGGGGGCAAGAAGCCGCGGCGGGAAAAACCTGCGGCGGCGGGGGCGAAAAGCCGTAAAAAGCCACGGCGCCGGGGGCCAAAAGTCATAAAAAGCCGCGGCGGCGGTGGCAAAAAGCCGCGGCGGAAAAAGTCGCGGTGGCGGGGGCAAAAAGCTGCAGCGGCAGGGGGAAAAAAGCCGCAAAAAGCCGCGGCGGTGGGGGGAGAAAGACGCAAAAAGCTGCGGCGGCAAAAAGCCGCGGCTGCGAGGGCAAAGATCCCCAAAAAGCCGCGGCAGCAGGGGCTAAATTCCGCGAGGCCGGGGGCAGAAAGCCGTGGTGGCCGGGGCAGAAAGCAACGGAGGCGGGGGCAAAAAGTCGAGGCGGCGGAGGCATAAAGCCGCAAAAACCCGCAGCAGCGGGGGCAAAAATCCATGGCGGCAAAAAGCCGCGTCGGCGGGGGCAAAGTAGTGGAAATGGGGTAGAAGGCCAGCACAGCTTGGCATTCCTGGAGTGTGATGTGGAAGGAAAAGTGCAGAGGAAGACAAACAAAGATGTAAGTTGGCTTGACTCAGTGCAGCTAAGAACCCAGATGTTATCTTGATGTTATCTATCAGCTAATTTTTTGTAGTTTAGTAGAGAAGGGGTTTTACCACATTGGCCAGGATTGTCTGGATCTCCTGACCTCATGATCCACGCACCTCAGCCTCCCAAAGTGATGGGATTAGAGGCATGAGCCACAAAGTGCTCAAAAAATCTATTAATTAAAAAATGTGTATGTAGCCGTCTTTAATCTACCATGTCCATTAGCAGATAAATACTATAAGCAAAATAGCAACAATGAGAGAAACATAGACTTAGAGTAGATACTCTGATTTATTTAATAAAAATTTGAAAATAGACCAAATTATGATAAAAAAAAATCTGTTGCTATTGAGGATGAGGGTTAGTGTTTGGAAAGGGGCAGGAGAAGTATCACTATTTTTAGTAATGTTCTATTTTCATACATGGTTATAAGCAAATACATGTGTTTCATTAATGAAGCTATCCATATTTAATCATTGTACTTTTCTGCATGTATGATATATGTCAATAAATGTCTTATATACAGCAAAAATAGACAAAACCACAAGAAGACATACACAAATGTTAAACCTAGAGAGAAATTTGAATATAAGTAAGTCTCTGAATGACTGCTAGAACAAACCGAAAAATAGGATGGAGAGGTTTGGAACAGCATGATTAGCAAAATGGACATATCTGTCTTTTAATATAGGCAGAAACATAGTTAGATAAAAAAAGGACTTGTCTCAGAGCATGATTTCTGAAAATAGTGGAATCGAGTTTGAATCTAGTAAGTACATATAAATAAATGTCTTAAAACTCCTCTTATGTTAGCTAATTAAGAAACATTATTGTAATAGACATTAGAAAATATTTTAATAAATTGAGTGGATTTAACACGCTAAGGAAATGATCTTACTTGCATTTGATAGTTCAATTAGATACATATACACCTATAGGTAGTTTAAAATATTTCTAATAACCTTATATACTTTTAAAAAGCATTGATATCTGTTTGCACTATCTGGTCTATAGAGTACACATACCAAACATGATTATAGCTCTTCTGCTATAAACTTCAAATGTCTAAGTAATACAAAAATCTAGAATGAGAAGAGTTCTTTGCATTTTTTTTTTTTTTTTTTTTTTTTTTTTTTTTACCAAATAGAATATAGGAAGGATAGCTGCAAATATACCTGACACACTTATCTGTGAGTATGGTGGTAGCCTTTTTATTTTATTTTATTTTTCAGAGAGGGTTTCACTTTGTCACCCAAGATGGGGTGCATTCATGTGATCAGAGCTCACTGAAGCCTTCACATACTGTGCTCAAGCGATTCTCCCACCTCAGTCTCCTGAGTAGCAGGGACTGCAAGTGCATGACACCATACTAGCTAATTTTTGTAAAGATGGGGTTTCACCATGTTGCCCTGGCTGATCTCCAACTCCTGGACTCAAGAGATCTGGCCACCTTGGCCTCCCAAAGTGCTGGGATTATAGATTTGAGGCACCGCGATCAGCCCAGCCTTAAAAAAGGGTGACTAGAGATCTTTATCTATGTATATCTGTCTATAAAATAAACATATGTGTTTCTTATATAGAAATATATACTATTAATATTATATAAAAATTTTTTTCAAGGTAGAAATATATAAAGAGGGTGCATGTAGAGCCTGGAGCATTGTGTAGTGAAGCTCAAGGCCTCTGAAGAAATGACCCTTGCCTCTTTTGTCTGGGCTAGAATCCGAGAAGGGAAAGCAGCAGATGCACTGGTTCCCAGGTTCTTGGCATCCTACAGAGAGAAACTTGTTTGAGCTAGGGTAGCGTTAAACACCCTTGTTCTTACTCTCCTGTTTTATGTAGTGAGCAGAGACTAGCTTCATGAGAACAGACTGTGACAGCCAAGGCTGTCTGTTATTTTGTGCAGCATTAATTGAGAAATTCTAGCACCTGAAGACCTCTGGGCCATTTGAGGGTAGGTGCAGGGGAGGAAAGGGAAGTTTGCATCCCTCATGCTGTGGAGAGAACCTGTGGGGAGCACAGACCTTGTCCTAACTGAAGGCAGACCCCCTTGCTAACCAGATTCTCATCAGCCAACCCTGGATGAGTTTCTATGTCTATTTACTAAATAATCCTCATTGCTTTTCTTCACATGGGCAAAGTATGGTTTGCAGGGAATATTGTTCCTTTGAACACCCATCATGGAAAACCCTTCCTGTTGTGGGAAAACAGGCTTCCATATGTGTCTTATTGGGAAACACATAGGCAATTTCTATGTTTTTACTGCATCTATTTCAGGGATATGGGAACTGAATAGTGCCCATCAAAGGCTCACCTGATGTTGGAAATTGATCTGAGAGCGCGGAAGGACATAATTCTTTCTTTGTTCCTGGGCAGCGGTGGTTGAGGGTTCACTTTGTGGCAGCTACAGTGGCAATGATGGAGGCAGAATGGAGGGCTCAGTACCAAGACAAGGAGAGACTTGGCCTCACAATGGCAGCATTGCAGGGGTGCGCTCTACAGAGCATTTGCTCACATGGTTTTGGGCATTGTCTCTAACTACATTGCTTCCCCAATAGGTTGACCCATTCTAACTAACTCCTTTTCTCTTTAAAAAAGCAAACTTCATTTGTATGACTTGCAATTGTAAACGACACCAATTGGCCAGTTATCATTCAAATTCTCTGTTACTTAATCCTGCCTTTTCCTGACGTATGCAAATTTGCCCTAAAAAATTGGACACTTTGTTGCTTACTCATTGTCTTTACACATTTTAAAATGTTGCTTTAGGCCCCAATCCCTAACTACATTTTCAATGTTTTGCAAGTGGAGTCCATGTGTTCTTGATTTACATGAAGCTCAAAATAATGGTTATAGTAACTAGTACTTCATAATTAAGCAAAAAGCTCTTATTGAAAAATGACAGAACTATACATAGGGATGACAACATGGAGAGATATTTCGTGAGATCACAAACTTATGGTATAGCAGAAGTAGAACGCTGAGTAGAGACTCTGTGTTCCTAATCATTATTTCTACCACCAGCTTTCTATTTTGATGTTAATAATGTTCTTATGTGGGAAACCCTACATATTTGCCAATGTTTAGTTCATTGACAAAGAAATAGAAAGAGCTTCAAGAACACTCGAATCTTTAAAAAATAAAATACCTATAATTGGCCATACGAAATAATTGGTACTTGACATATACTGAGATCGTTTTATTTTGTGCTAGATAAATGAAGTCATAGAACAGAATGTGCTTTAAATATTATGAATAGTGCCTGTGTGTGTGTGTGTGTGTGTGTGTGTGTGTGTGTGTGTGTGTGTCTATAGATGCATATTAGGCCACTGAAAAGTTTTATTATTCTTTCCAGGAGAGAGACTGCCAACTTTTGAACCTAACTAGAACAATATATTGCTTCTTCATATTTTGATTAAGGCAAAGAGAGTCTAGTTAAAAATAATTCAACTTGTCGTGGAAATGCTATAAATTGCTGTGAAGTGAGTTGCTGGCTATGGCTTGTCAGAGTAAATATATTGTACAAATCTTAGGGGAGAATCAGTGCTCGTGCATTAAAATCAAATCATCTTGCAGCACACTGAGAAAAAGGTTAGATTTTTAAAATAATTTCAAAGTCATGAAAAGAGCAAATATGCTCCACAAAGAGCCTAGCAACCCTCAATGACCAATGCCCCTTTTATATAGTTTGGTATCTGAATTAGAATCCCAGAATCTACAAATTCCTCTGGGTGAGGGTGCTGCATTTTGAGGATTTTATAACACTGCCATCACCAAGCTCTCTTTTGATATTCACTTTAAGGAGATAATTTACGGGCAACCAGAGAGCATAAACCAAAGTAGATATCTAACTAGATAGCTAGATACATCTCCATATCATTGACAGGATACATTCTGGCCGAGTGTGAGTACAACCTATGGATGTGGTTGGAGAGAACATGTGTTCCACCTCAATGGCAGATCAGGATTATTCCTTCTCATCTGCTGCAATGGCTCAATGTGTTAAGGAGAGGAGCGAGACAGCAAGAACCGCATTCATTCAGTCATACAGACCAAAAGGAGGAATGTCGCCCAGCCCTCTAAACTGACCCAGAACCCAGCTCATGTCTCAACTGCTACCTCTCCTACTTAGAAAGAAGTAACTCCACCAAAGCAGGGTTCTGGACAAATATATTTTTATTGATCATATACAAATAGATGAAGATGGACTTGGATGTTAAGAAAAATAATACTATACAAAATCAAGAGTAGACAGTCGCCCCTAGACTTAAATTAAGGGTGTGTCCATTAGATAATTTAATCCAATGTATCAGGTAAAAACTTGAACGAACCTTTTAGCCTCTTCCTTAAAATTCAGGAAAGCATGTCCTCCACAAAACAAAATCAAAATATAAATAAAAGACTGGCTTAAGATGAAAGGAAACCTTACAAATGAAAAGAAGCCAGATGAGAGGCCCTTAACTGAGAATGAAAAGAAATTGAGTGGACAAAATAATTATGAGATGAACCTTCAAATCAGAAAAGAGGGAAAAAAGCTTATTTGATACTATGGGAACTCAAAAGAGAGTGAACAAAAATGTGAAAATTCCAGGAGTACAGAAAAGTAGCATGGCTAAATTAAGAGCATGAGAAAATGTATACAATTTTGAGTAATAAGAACAGAAATCAAAAGTAACTGTTGTATGTTATATTTTAGTAGAGGAACACTGAAGAAGAATGAAAACAAGAAATAATATTAAATATGAACATATGGAGAACAGAATAATATTTTTAAAATTTTTAGTTTCTAAGCTTATCTGAAATTTTAATTTTGTTTTCTTATGTAATACCAGAGTTATTAGGAAGGTATTATCTACTAACACTATTTTCAGTGATATTTTAAGTAGTTGTCCTAGTTAAATTTCTATTTTTTAAAAATGTATATTTAAAAATACATTAAATGTGTATATACATCAATCATATGTATCGATTTCTGTTTTTCTTGAATTGCAAATGAAATTTGTATTTTTGTGTTCCTGGAATAAAATAAACTTGAATGGATTGTAATATTTTATTCATGCTGTAATTCAATGTATTTGAATTCTTTAAGAATGTTACATTTATAGTTAACAGACACTGACCTATAAATTTTCTGTCATATAATGATGCTGTGAGACAATCTAAGAAGAATTAAAATTTAAATTCATGTATTCCTACTTTTTTCTCTGTTCTCTAACTGTAATATATTTTAATTACAGATGGAGGAACAGACAGATGTTAGATAAATAGATATATAATATATAGATCATCCAAAATTCTTATTCTTATGGTTTTATGTAGTCAGTATTTACCTCTATTTTTCTACATGTTTATCCTTCCAATTTAGTTCATTATTTCCTGCACCTTTGATTTCATATATATAAACAGGAAATAACACATGGTGGCCGTTATGTAGAGAGAGCCACAGGACTTGTGAATAAAATCCACAGGCAAGGACGTGGCGATTCGTTTTGCAATATTGGAGGGAATGCCAAACCCTATGTTTGCTGTGGAAAAGAGTATGGTAGTTCCTCAAAACATCAAAATGGTATTGCCTTACGATTCAGCAGCCCCACATCTCAAGACAGCAAAAGAATTGAAAGCAGAGTCTTGAAAAAATATTTGCACATCCATGTTTGCAGCAGCATTATTGGCAATAGCTAAAACGTAGAAGCAATTGAAGTGTCCAACAACAGACGAATGGATATGCAAAACATGATATATACATACAATGGAAAATCATTCAGCCTTAAACATGAGGGAAATATTCAGACATATGTTGCATCTTGGATGAAACTTGAGGATATTATGCCAAGTGAAATAAGTTAGTCAGTGAAGGACAAATACAGTACAATTCCATTTGTATAAGAGACTTAAACTGGACAGAATCATAGAGATAGTACAATGATGAATGCCAGAAGCTGGGGGGAGGAAGACATGGGAAAGTACTGTTTAATGGGTATAGAGTTTCAGTTTCACAAGATGAAACGAGTTATGGAGATGGATGGTAGGGACGGCTGCACAATGTTATGACTATATTTAGTACCACTGAACTGTACATTTAAAATGGTTAACAGAGTACATTTTATGTTATGTGTATTTTACCACAATAAAAAAATAAAATACCTTAGGAACATTTTCCTGAAAGAGTCCACATAAAATTCATTTTAATGCATGTGTTTATGCATAGCTTTCTATTTTTCTCTTTTCTATTTATATTCCAAATTAGAATATAATGCTAATCAAGCATAGTGGCTGTGTTTCTTGCTTCCTCTAGTCTGCAGGTAGCATACAAATGTAAGAAACTACTCATTAATGTCACATCTATTTATTTTCTGCCTTATACCAAGCTTGTGGGATTCTCTTAAATACAACATTTTTATACTTACACCTATGAAATACCCATTAACATCGCCTTCCTAAATCAGTGAAAATTGAGTCTCTGTAAGGTGCAGTAACTTACTAAGATACAAAACTCAGCATTTAAGTCTGTATACTTCAATATCCTGCCCTCTTCTCATTTGTCTTTACTGCCTTTTATGTATGTGTTAGATGTTCAATAAATTCTCTTTTTTAAACTGAATTTAAGCCGTGGAGCAGTGTTTTGTTGAACAATAAATATGATATTGGACACTCTTCCTCCCTTTCATTTACGATCCTGTTCAAGAAAAAGAGAAATTCTTTCATTGCGCTAGAAGCTTAAAATAATGAAAATGCCACTTTCTACATTAAACAGAAACTGAAGGGAATCAAGGTGAATTGGATGAGACATAGAAAACAAGTGGGAAATAAATCTAGTATAATTTCCCCTTTGTGTACCTTTGTTATTTAGCATTTGAGAAAATTTTTCCCCCAAATATCTTCCCATCTTAATTCATGTCTATAAAGTAGACATTTATGCCTCACCTTGTCAAGAAGGGCAAACTCTAACATAAACATTTCCCAAAAATGCTTCCTGCTAAAACATAAGCTCGGTCTGGCTAGAAATTAAGCTCACTTCATAAAAATTAATTGGTAGCTAATCTTTGCATGCTGTTCTCTGAACTTGAGTGAAAGCTGTCCATCAGGCATACAGGGAATGACGGAAAAGGTGACAACAGAAGATGAATGCTATGTCACTAACCTTCAAAGATGACCTTCCTTTTCTTTCAAATTCTTGATGTCTTAAGATTTCATTAATTCATCTTTCTTTGCCCTTGGTTCAACATTGTGCTATACCAAAACTCATGTAAAACGATGATGTATTGTAATAAAAATGGCATTTTTCTTTCATGTAGATGCAAGCTATGTGGCATTTTTACAATCGACATACTTCCGTTGTCAATTTTTCATTCTGTATTGGAAGTAATTGATAGGTATTTCTGAAGGAATGAAGGTATTTCTGTGTTCATTGTGATCCAAACTTTTTTTAGACCTAGTGGTGTTTGTAAAACAATTTGTGCCAGCTGACCAAGGACCACTGTGGCAGAAAGCAGCAAACTTGCATAAGATGTCACTGCCTCATCAGTTGGCTTTGAAAACTAGGGGCTTATTCTATAGTCCTCTGAATCAAAGACATTGATAGATGTAGTATAAGATTACAATCATACTTTCCTTTTGACAGTCACATTATAAAGCATGATGTATTGCAATTAATCTCAATTAGCTGATCACAATTAAAATTAATAGCTTATTATTGCTGATAAAAAATCATGACTCTCCTGTTCTCAAATGTGCAAGTAATTCTTGTAATTTTAATACAAATGTGCATATTATTACTAATTGATTTAATCTCATTGTATTTGGTTCATGGATCCAATTTATTAAAATATTGATAGTGTGGTAATGATTTGTCTCCCCATTTCATTTACACTAAAAGACACAATTCGTACAATGGTCTGCAAGCCCATCATGATCTGCCGCATGTTAACCGCCAAAATTCTTTTATGTCTTCACCCTTGACCTTACCAGTGGTCCTGTCCACCTCACTGTCCTCTGGACATGCCAACATGCTGCTGTCTTATGACCAAGACTCTAGTTAATTTCTTGGCTTTGAAAGAAATCCCCCCATATATCCATTGATCAGCTCATTCGACTCCTCAAATCTTTACTGAAACCTCACATTCTCGATGAGACCTATTCAGTATTTCAAACTGCCTCCCAGCTGAAACATTCCAAAACCCCTTAGTCTTCTGTGTATTTTTGAAAGGATTTATTGAGATATAATTTACATAGTGTAGAGTGCACATATTAATGTCTACAAGTCAATGGCTTTTAGTATATACGCAGATAAGTGGAGCCATCATCACAATGAATTTTAGAGCATTTTCATCACTTCAAAAAGAAACCCCACTTTCTCTAGCTGTTAACCTCCTATGCACTCATCCCCTACTCAATCCTAAGCAACCACAAATCTGTTTTCTGTCTCTGTAGATTTTCCTATTCTATTTTCATCTAAATAGAATCATACAATAGGTGGCCTTTTGTGCCTGGCTTCTTTCAGTTGGCATAATGCTATCAAGGTTCATATGCGTATCGGTACTTTATTTGTTTTTATACCTGTATAACATTCAATTTCATGGATATGACATTTTGTTTATCCAATAATATTTTTATTGACATTTGAGTTGTGTTCAGCCTTTGGCTATTTTAAATACTGCTGCTAAAAATACTTGTGTACAATTTGTGTTTGAACACCTCTTTCCAATAATCTAGGTGTATACCTGGGAATAAATTTCTGGGTCATATGACAATTCTATGTTTAATATATTTAGAAGCCATCAACCTATTTTCCAAAGTGGCCAGTTCTAGCCATAGCGTATCTAACTGTGGTTTTGATTTGTAGTTGCCTGATGAGTGATGCTGTTGAGTATCTTTTTATGGGATTATTGACCGTTCGTGTATCTTCTTGGAAAACACATCTATTCCTATCGTTTATCAGTTTTGAGTTGGGATATTTGTTACTGAGTTAAAACAATTTTTCTATATTCAAGATACATATATATGCAGACATATAGATATGTGTTTTTCAAATATTTTCTCACAATTTTTGAGCTGCCTTTTGACTTGCTTGGTTGTCCTTTGAAACACCAATGTCTTTAATTTTTAAGAAATTTTAAATATCTAATTTTTATTTTGTTGCTCATGTTTTTGGTGTTACAGTTATTTCTTTGCTAGATCCAAAATCCTGAAGATTTTCCCATATGCTTTATTCTAGCTCTTGCATGTATGTCTTTAATTCATTTGAGTTAATATTTTTGTATGCTTTGGGGTAAGGGTTCCAGTTTATTATTTTGCAAGTGGCGATCCACGTGTACGCTGTTGACCCAGTTTGTTCAAAGACTGTCCCTTCCTCATTGAATTGCACATGGCACCACTGTAAGAATCCATTGACTATAGACACATAGTTTTATATATGGACTCTCAATTCTCTTCCATCAATCTATATATTTTTCTTTCATCAGTATTGTGTTGTCTTGATTACTGATGCCTTGCCGTAAGGTTTGGAGCACGGGGGTGTGAATTATCCTAATATGTTTTCTTTTTTCAAGACTATTTTGTCTATTTTGGGTCCCTTACATTCCCATGTGTATTTTAGAATCAGCTTGTCAGTTTCTAGACAGAAGTCTGTTGGGATACTTGCAGGGATTACGTCAAATCTGTAGTTCAACTTGAAAGTACTACAATATTAAATCTTCCAATTCATGGCTGTAAGATATTTGCTAATTATTTAGATCTTCTTTAAACAATAATTTTTAATTTTCCGAGTAAAATCTTGTATCACATTTTCCAAATTAATTATTATTTCTTTTTTTGGTGCTATTTTAAATTGAAGTGTTTTCTTAATTTCATTTTTGGGTTTTCATTGTAGATGTGTGCAATTGATTTTTGTAGATTTATCTTGTATGCTGTAATATTGCTGAAATAATTTACTAGTTCTATTGTTCAGTGAATTCCTTAAAATTTTCTATATACAAGAATATTATTTTCAAATAAAGTTTTATTTCTTCCTGTTCAATATGGTTGACTCTTTTTTTTTAGTTGCCGACTTGCCCTGCATAAAATCTTTAGTACAGTGTTGACTAGAAGAGCTCAAAGTATATATCCTATTCCTATCTCTGACCATAGCGGGAAAGCATCCTTTACCATTAAGTTGCATTCTTGCTGTTGGCTTTTCACAGGTGCCATGTATCTGGTGTTGAAAGTTCTCTATTCCTGGTTCATTGAGTTTTTATTTTTATTTTTAATCATTAAAGCATTTGGATTTTGTTAAATGTCTTTTCTGAATCTATCGACATGATCATGCAATTCTTGTTTCTTATTCTATGGATAAGATGTATTACCTTAATGGATTTTGGGCTGTTAAACCAACCTGAGATTACTAGTATAAATTTCACTTTGTCATAGTGTATAATTCTTGTATATGTTGCTAGATCTGATTTGTTAGTAGTTTTTAAGGAATTTTGCATTTATACTTATAGTAGTTTTATTTTTCTATGCTATTTGGACTAATTTTTGTATCAAGGTAACACTGGCCCCATAGAATAAATTGGGAAGTGAATATTTCTCTTTTTTAAAAAAGTCAGTCAAGAATTAATATTAATTAGTCAATACTAACAAATATGATTAATATTATAAATTATTAATTTCTCTAATTTTTATTTTCTTCCTTCTGCTTGCTTTAGGTTTAGTTTGCTATTCTTTCCAGTGCCTTAATGTGGAAGGTTATCTTATCTCATCCTTTCCTTTGTCTTTTCATTTTCGAAATAGTGTCTTTTTAGCATCAGGTGAGCTCCCCAGGTTGGTAGTACTCCATGTTTATTGCTGTACAACAATGACAGGTAATATGTCCTGAAGACAATGGAAATTTAACATTCAAAATCCTCCTAGATTCCACCTTATGTGATATGTCTCTTCCTTTGATTGGTCCTAATTTCTACCCTTTCTCTATTATAAACCATGAGTACAATGGCATTCAATGACTTTTGTGAGTCTTTTTAGTAAATTCTTGAAACTGAGGGTGTTCTTGGGAAACCCCTGAACTGGCAATTGGTGACAAAAGTGCGAATCATCTTATATGGCCTCTTCCTTTGAACTTTGCAGCTGGACCCAAACTCTGCACAATTTGGGGCAGAAGTCTCGTGTTGACTTTGCAGCCTAAATTATCTTGTAGTTTGTCTAACCCTCAATAAATTTGTTTTCATCAAATATTGTATTTGTTACCCCACAATTACCATCATGGTTTTTTCTCCAAATAACTAACATTGGGAGAAATAGCCAGCTGAATCTGTAACTCAACAGAAACAAGTGATCCATATACCATATAAGTGGCCATTTCATTTTGCCTCCTTCCACCAGATCTTAGCAACCTCAACCATTGCCATGAGCCACTGTAGGCCTACCATCTACAAACAGACAAGTATCTTTTAAAAAGACTTCATACTCCCATTTGATAAATTTCCCAGCAAAGAGATGCTTACTTTAACTCTATGCAAGTGGCTCATATTCTCAAAGTCTGGAGATATTATTCATGTAGTGTGAGAAAATCATCCCAGCGATGCCAGCACATTCTCCTTCCCATGATCTGCTTACTTTGCAAAGATATTCAGGCCATAGGTGAGAGATTTGTATTTCAAAGTACAACAATTTTATGGAGGTCATTGAAACTTAGATTTAGCATTTTAGCACAGTCACGCATCACTGAATGACAGGGATACGTTCTAACAGATGCATCCATAGGCAATTTCATCATTTTGCCAACGTCAGAGAGAATATTACAAACACCTAGTTTGTACAGCCTACCACGTTTAGGTTATATGGTATAGCCTCTCTCCCCTAGGCTACAAACCTGTGTACTACATTACTATACTGAATACTGCAGGCAATAAGAACACAGTGGTAAGAGTTTATGTATCTAAACATACTTAAACATAGAAAAGAATGTAAAAATATGTATTATAATCTCATGGGACCACTTTTGTATATGTAATCCATCTTTGACTGAAATGTTATTATACATGACATGACTCTATGACAAAAATAATACATTTTAAAAAATGTACACATGTATCAAACATATTATTATAAAAATAAAAATATTCAGTGTAAGAATTTGTAATGATCACAAAATGTTCACAGCTTATATTTAAGTACAGTTTCAAATGCCTAGTGCAATTACTATTTATTTCTTTGTGTATTTTAACCATGTATATAATAAATATTTTTCAGGTTCAACAATATATATCAATCCTACAGGCTCTTACAAATATTAGCTAAAATCAATTGGTAAATTCATGTATATATATGCTTACCTGTATCAGTGAGCGTGTGTGCATGTATGTTTGTGTAAATGTAATTTTATGTGTGT
This sequence comes from Homo sapiens, assembly GCF_000001405.40. Classification (NCBI taxonomy): domain Eukaryota; kingdom Metazoa; phylum Chordata; class Mammalia; order Primates; family Hominidae; genus Homo; species Homo sapiens. Next base: position 91,429,504 of record NC_000002.12, on the reverse strand, counting down.
GTAAATGTAATTGGATGCATCCTTATATTTACCCTTACCTTCAAGATTTCCAAGATTCATTTATTATCTTTAGATGATGGGCATTTAAAGATTTACCAAATACAACTGTAATAGTGGGAAATATCAAGATGTTATTAAATTCATCTTGTGCACATAATTGTTTCTATAATTTTATGTTTCTTGCAAAACTTGCAGTAATGCTCATGCACAAAATAATTTTCTAAATAAAAAAAACGTTTTCTCAGTCATTAATTCTTAAAATTATTTCTCCCCAATAATTAATGTGAATTAATTCTTAATTCTTAATGATAGAATAATGTTGCCCTTCAGAGTTCGGAAACTTTTACATGTTGTACACATTTCACAAACCAGAACAACTTCTGAAATATTGGCATTAATTAATGTCACTCAGCAATTATTGATTTCAAAGGCATTAAATACCATTCCTATTCTGAATCACAAGGGTACTTTGGCATCTTATTTAATCAAGCTCTTTGTATCATCATCTACAATTTAATTACTTAACAAACATTTCTCTGTGTGAGAAAGATTGAGCAGGTTATTGTGCTTTTTTAAGATGCAACTTTTGCTTAATCTAGAGATAGGCAATGCTCCCTATAAGGGACAAGGAGAAAAATAAATGAGCAATAGAGATGTGACAGGCATGGAAAAAGACACTACATTTATCAAACAAATAGGGCCACGGATGACGATAATGGGGATCAAATCTTGAGATACTGACTCAGTTTATAACCTCACTGTATAATAGAGCAAATCATTTGTTAATTTTTTTACAAATGGAATTTAATTTAATTAAGATGAATACAGTGTTTTAAACAAGGCAGGTCATCTTAAAATAAAATAGTGGAATAAAGTGATAAAACCAATGTAAAAATCGTAAACATTTTATAAAGAATTTTTGTCATGTAATTTAATATTTTTGTTCATTTAAAATCACCCAAATCAAAATAATTTTATCTTAATTAACAAATAATCATCAGAAGTTTAACTAATTTTTACTTTATAATACTAGGTTTAAAAATTCTGAACTATAGTTTTAATCACATATGCTTATATATAAAATAGACAGGATATATATTTACATGTTCACAATATTATATTGTAATTGCTCCTATGGATGTGGTTTTTCAATAGAATTAATAAGTACTTTAAAAAAGTTTCAATTTCAATGATGTGTATGATTGATTTTTCTTAGAAAAAGCATACATATATTGATAGGTAATAATATGAAAATCTTCTAAAGGCATTACAGGAACACGAAAATGTAATTAAATACTCACTAATTTGTAATGTTTTATGTAAGCGGAACACATTTAACTGAAAATTGCTTTTATATAATACTCAAACGAGACTAAAAACTTTTTAACCAGCGGAGTAAGTCTTCAAATTGATAATCTGAACTATATTGGAGGAGAAATTTCAGGCACTCAAATATTTGAAATGCTACAAAATATTTATATAAACTATTATTTAACAATTTCTGTTTGTAGAGTGCTATACAGTAATCAATATAAATGACATCTCAAGTCTTTCTATAGCTTTGACCACATTTACCTCCTAATTTTAATTATTAATATGTTGGAGCAGTGCATACAACTAGATTCTGATCTTCCTTTTTAATGAGTAAAAATATGTGCTTTGAGACAGCATTAAAGAAAGAGCACCTTGTAAAAATTCAATGCCAAGAGACAAGATATTCTTGATTCTGAAGTCTTGTTCTTTTATACAGCAATGTAATTAATAAGAAGAAAAGGAGGACATAGATGTGGAGCCTATTTTAATAAAAAATTGTCTATAGATTTTGATGATAACATTTAAAAATCTACTATATTTAGTTAGTTACAAGAAACTAGGTTGTGGGAACATATTTGGTCAACAAAACACCCCTACCAAGTGCTGACAAGAAAAAAAGTTAGGTATCACCTTTCTTCTCTGCAGATGGCCTGAGATGGGTTAATTTGAAAGAATGCTTCCAAAGCTGAGGTGACCCCTGAGAACAGCATAATCCACTGCTGTCTCCCACATTCAGTTTCTCAGTCTGTGCTCTTTTAATTTTGTGGGAAGGGAAGCCAGCCCTTTAAACCAATCTTCAGCATGATGGCAGAACCAAGGAGTGTGGACAGGTGGCACGGTGTCTGACTTTGTTCCAGCAGCCACTTGTGCTTTCTCTGGATCTTCTCTGCCCTAGGGATAGCACCACTATTGAAAACATATCTTTGTGACATTCTCTATGCCAGGAACTCCCAACACATTTTCCTTGAAACTGATGAAATGAATAAAAATAAACCAAGAGGTGTGCTGTTTGTTTCTGTTTCCTGCTTTCTGCAGCCCTTCTTGATCATCTAATATTTTCAAATACATTGTCGATCACCAAAAGGAGCATAAGGGGTATATTGATTTGTAGCAGATGTATTAATAGCCCAGCCCCTATTCCTTACCTGTAGCTGCTGGGAAGAAAACCACTCTTAACACTCTACAAGGTCTCATCTCCAGAATTTGCAGCTGTTTCTAGCTGAGGACTTTCTCTAGCAGCATGGGAGCTTGATACTGGGCAAGTGGGAAGAAAAGGTGAGGGCAACTAAGAAGAATCTCCCTGGATTCAGTGATGTAATTCTGAGGCATGTTCCACATAGCTTCCCATAGAATTAAGCCCAGATATCTAACACAGGAACTTGCCTCTTAACACGTGTGGTACTGGCTTTTCTATCTTTCCTGTTTTATTTTGTTCTCTCTTCCTTGTCTCACTTTCGCTGTGTCCTCACTCCTGCTTTAAGAATACCCAAACAAAAACACTCATTTTTTTTTAAGAGTCTCAGAATACAGTTGATAGTGTAACTTGTAATCTATGATAATCAGCTTGGATGCTGTACTGACAGGAAGATGGTGAACTCACAATGTCTAATTAAGATAAAATTAAAAAGTATATTGATTCATGTCAAAAGATTTAAAAAACCTAAGCGGCAGTGTCACAATTTCTTCTTTTTAGTTTACATGGTTTCTTAAACGCCTACAATTATTTTAAAGGAAGCCTTGAATCTAGGAAAAATTGAGACATATGGAATAAATTACTAACCCATTTCTCCTTGAAATCCATTAGATGCTTGATGATTTTTCACATATATTTCTGAATTGAAAAGCTAGCTGTGAATTATTTTTATAAGCATATCCTTAGGTAATATTTTGTTTTTAACAGTGAATTGAAGGTTTAAAGATTAAATTATTCTATCCAGAGAATAAAAAGCAATTATTTCACAAGGAGAACATGTGTACGTTGACAAGACATTTTAAAGTCTAGAATTTAAAAAAGGACCCATATACTTTTGTGTCAAATAGAATATGTTTGTATCAGTCTGTCTACAGTTTTACACCTGTCAAAATGTACTTGAACTACAACAACAACCTTGAACAATTTTGAAATTTATGATTCCTCTGAAACTGATTAAAAGAATTATGGTAGAGTGAAATTCTGATTGACATAATTTGGGAGAGAAATTATTCCTTGGACATCAACCTCTGCCAAGATAGTTTATAATGACATTGAGGCTTTTTGATTTACACAATTTGTTATATAAAAAATACTAAGACGATGGCAGATAATACACAGACTTTAATTAAAATTGTACTACAATTAAATGTCTAAATAAATTAGAAGGGTACATGGTACATCTAATTGTATGTTTATATATTTTATTTGTGCATTTTTTTCCTAGGGTTTCTTTTGCTTTAGTTTGTAAAACGTTCTTATGTTTATGATAATGTAGCATATACTAAATAAAGAAAAATCAGGAAATAGAAAATGAAGAAGAAAACATTAGCTATTGTCAACCAAACAAAAATTGTGCAATCTCTAAGCACATGAACTATGTAATATTTGTACAGCATAGTACAATGTTTATGCTTCACAGGGTGAGGTAGAGACTGCAAAACCTTGAACTTGGGACAAACAAGAAAGTAAGGAAATTTTCACAACATATTAATATTATAGAAAATGTTGAACTTAACAGTTAAGATACAAGTAGTGAAAAATGATAGTATTTAAGGAGATCTAGAAAATTTAATCTATACCTGTAATGTGTGAGAAGTATTAGAATAATGCTTGTATTTCTGGATTGTCATCGATTTCTATTGAGACTGGAAACATAATAGAAATGAGTAAAAAAGAATTTAAATTGTGGATACTTGAGTTTTATACCTAGGAGTTCCAGAAATACATTTTGTTACTATCAAAGCAGTTGGCACAAGAGGGTACAAAATTCCCTAATTGTGTCTATGTGGAGAAGACATAGACAGAGAATAGCAAAACAGAAATAGCAAAAAAGCACAAATAAATTTTACCTGTATTTTTAAGTAAAAGCCAATTAGAGAAGGAAAACATGAAATTTGTGTTTTATCAAAATTTTTCTCTTTCTCATAATATAGTTGAATATATTACTGGAAAAAATTTGAAGCACTGGTATGTTCACACATAAAAGTAAAATATAAGGTCAAAACCATGGGAATGCAGGGAGCAGACAAAATATAACTAAACACGGAAACTGATTTTTCCCTACGGACATGTAGCAAAATGAATGAGTGCAGATTCCTATTGTCATACATTACATAGGACAGTAAAAAAATACATAGATTTTCCCAAGATAGGGCATCACACAGGAGCTCCTCCCTAAAGCTAGGACCAACATTTCTATCCTCAGTATAAGGAAGAATCAGAGGTAAATTAGTCCCATTTCACATTCCCTGGAAATGGCAAATAAAAATGACTTGAGATTGGACGGATTTAAAGAAACTCAATCATTAATGATTTACAGCAACTAATTTAAAAATTGTTTAAATGTGCAGTCCAAACATATGTCCGAACACCTTTAGGCCAAGAATTAACATAATGTGGTCCCAGAATGGTGGTGCCTTTAGTAGAATCACAAAAAAATTCAACTTCTCTTTGGCAAATTTTCTACTTACTAATCTGCAAAAGTGCACAAAAATAATTTTCAGAGAAAAATAAATATTTGTCATTCAAAGGCATCTAAGCATGCAAGGAAATGATATTCCACCATTTGAAAGGAAAGCAGAAAAAGACTACAAACAGATCCACAAAGGTTCATTAGTAGAAATATCACTGTTAGATTATAAAGCACATTTGCTTTCAAAAAATTTTTTAAAAAATGAATATATTGTTAGGAGACTAAAAAATTCATGTAGCAAATTTGAAAAGAAGTTTGTATAAAAATGTAGTTATTTTAAATTAAAAACTCAAAAATGAACTCATCAGATTAGACATGGCCAAGGTGAGAGTTCATAAATATTTCAGAATGCATTACAGAAAATTTTGAAAAATGTAAAATGTGGACAGAATGATGAAGAGACATGGAAGATACAGTGAGAAAGTGTAGCATGTGTTTAGAGAGTGTTCTCATAGAAGAAGGGAACTGGGAAGGGACAATGTGTGTTGGTATTTTGTCTGAAAGTTCCCTAGACCTTTGTAAGACACTGATCTGCATATTCAAAAACTCCATGCATGCTAAGCAAGCTACAATGGAGATAAACCTACACCTATGTATCTCCTAGAGAAATAGTAAACACCCATGAAGGGAAAAATATTTCAATTAGCACTAGAAAAATGAAATTACTTTTAATCATATTGAAATCTGAAAAAATGAAAGGTAAAATAAACAATATTATTTGTTAAGAATAATAATGCCATTCTGAATTTCTAAACGAAGAAAAATATTCATCAACCTGTGGCTAAATAACATATTTAGAGACAAAAAACAAAACGCAACCAGCAGAATTCCACTAAAGAAACTAAAGAGAAACTCTGAAAATATGCCTCAGAAAGGTTGAAGTTCTGAAATCAAAGAATGAACACAGAGTAAAATATATTGTAAACATACAGATAGAACAAATAAGAAACTGGATGTTGAAACAAAAATATATTTAAAATTAGATAAGCACTGCAATATGTATGATAAAAAGAAAATTATTAGGGCTGAAGTACTCAAAGAAATCTTAATTGTCTGACAAGTGCAGAAAAGTGAGTATGACTTTGCAACTCCTTTTCTTCTTCGAATGGAAAGGAATGGAATGGAATGGAATGGAATGGAATGGAATGGAATGGAATGGAATCAAATGGAATTGAATGGAGAGGAATGGAATGGAATGGGAGATGAGATTGTGCCATTGTGTTACACAATGGGTGAAAGAATGATACACTCTCGAAAGAAAGGAATGGAATGGAATGCAATGGAGTGGAGTGGAGAGGAGAGGAGTGGAATGGAGTGGAATGGAATCAGATGTAATGGAATGTAGTGGAATGGAATGGAATGGAATCATCATCGAATGGAATAGAATGGAATTATCATCGAATGGAATCAAATGGAAACACCATCGAATGGAAACGAATGGAGTCATCATTGAATGGAATCAAAAGGCATCATCATCCAATGGACTTGAATGGAATCATCATCGAATGGAATTGGATGGAATAATCATTGAATGGAATCGAACGGAATCATCATCAAATGGAATTGAATGGAATCATCATTGAATGGAATCGAATGGAATCATCAACAAATGTAATCGAATGGAATCATCGAATGGAATCTAAAGGAACCATCATCAAATGGAACTGAATGGAATCATCATTAAATGGAACCGAACAGAGTAATCAGCAAATGGAATCAAATGGACTCATGATCAAATGGAATCGAATGGACTCATGATCAAATGGAATCGAATGGAATCATCATCGTATGGAATCAAATTGAATCAATGAATTGAATCGAATGGAAAGATCACCGAATGGAATTGAAGGGAATCATCGAAAGGGATCAAATGGAATCATCAAAGGGAAACGAATGGAATCATCGAATGGATTCGGATGGAATCATCAGCGAATGGAATTGAATGGAATCATGGAATAGACTCGAATGGAGTCATCATTAAATGGAATCCAATGGAATCATCGAATGAACATGAATAGAATCGTCATTGAATGGAATCGAATGGAATCATCGAATGGCATCGAATGGAATCATCATAGAATGGAATCTAATGGAATCATTGAATGGACTCGAATGGAATAATCGAATGGGCTTGAGTGGAATCATCATCAAATGGAATCGAATGGAATCATCAAATGGACTCGAATGGAATCATCGTCAAATGGAATCGAATGGAATCATCATCAAATGGAATCGAATGGAATCATCATCGAATGGAATCGAACGGAGTCATCATCAAATGGAGTCACCAAATTGAATCTAATGGAATGATCATCAAAGACAATCGAAGGGAAACATCGAATGGGATTGAACGGAGTCATCAAATGGAATCGATAGGAATCATCAAATGGATTCAAATGGAATCATCATCGAATGGAAACGAACTGAATCATCGAATGGACACGAATGGAATCATCATCAAATAGGATTGAATGGAATCATCGAATGGCATCGAATGGAATCACCATTGAATGGAATCGAATGGAATCATCGAATGGCATCGAATGGAATCATCATCGAATAAAATCAAATGGAATAATCGAATGTACTCGAATGGAATCATCAAATGGATTTGAGAGGAATCATCATCGAATGGAATTAAATAGAATCATCAAATGGACTCGAATGGAATCTTCATTGAATGGAATCGAATGGAATCATTGAATGGAGTCGAATGGAATCATCAGCAAATGGAATCGAATGGAATCATTGAATAGCAACGAATGGAATCATCATCGAATGGAATCGAATGGAATCATCAAATGAACTCGAATGCAATCATCATAGAATGGAATCGAATGGAATCTTTGAATGGACCTGAATGGAATCATCATCGAATGCAAACGAATGGAATCATCATCAAATGGAAGCACATGGAAATATCAAATGGAAAAGAATTGAATAATCATAGAAAGGAATTGAATAGAATCATCGAATGAAACCGAATGGAATCATCATCGAATATAATTGAAAACAATCATCAAATCGATTCGAATGGAATCATCAAATGGACTCAAATGGAATCATCACAGAATGAAATGAAATGGAATCATCGAATGGACTCGAATGGAATGGTCATCGAATGGAATCAAATGGAATTATCGAATAGAATTGAATGGAATCATCATCGAATAGAATTGAATGCAATCATCGAATGTACTCGAATGGAATCATCATCAAATTGTATCCAATGGAATCATTGAATAGAATCGAATGTATTCATCATCAAAAGAAATCACATTGAATTATCGAGTGGACTCGAATGGAATCATCATCGAATGGAATAGAATGGAATCATCGAATCCACTCGAATGGAATCAACTTTGAATGGAATGGAATGGAATCATCAAAGGGATTCGAATGGAATCATCATCGAATGAAATCGTATGTAATCATCGAATGGAATCATCATTGAATGGAATCGAATGGAGTGATCTAACGAACTTGAATGGAATCATCATCAAATGGAATCGAATGGAAACATTGAATGGACACGAATCGAACTGTTATCGAATGGAATCGAAGGGAATTATCATCAGATGGAATCGAATAGGATAATCATCGAATGGAATCACTGAATGGAATAGAATAGAATCATCTCCGAATGGAAACAAAAGAATCATCGAATGAATTCAAATGGAATCATCATTGAATGGAATCGAATGGAATCATCATCAAATGGAATCAAATAGAATCATCATCAAACGGAAGGGAAAGGAATCATTGAATGGACTCAAATGGAATCATCATCGAATGGAATTTAATATAATCTTCGAATGGACATGAATGGAATCATCATCAAATGGAACTGAATAAAATCTTCGAATGCACTCGAATGGAAACATCATAGAATCCAATCGAATGGAATCATCATCGAATAGAATCAAAAGGAATCATCATCGAAAGGAATCGAATGGAATCCTCGAATGGAATAGAATTGAATCATCATCAAATGGAATCGAATAAAATCATTGAATGAAATTGAATGGAATCATCATCGAATGGAATCATCATCAAATGGAATCGAATCAAATAATCAAATGGAATCGAATTGAATCATCAACGAATGGAATCAAATGGAATCATCGAATGGAATCCCATGTGATTATCATTGAATTGAACCCAATGGAATCATTGCATGGACTCGAAATGAATCATCGAATAGACTCAATTGGAATCATCATTGAATGGAATAGAAAGGAATCATCGAACGGAAACGAATGGAATCATCATTGAATGAAATCAAATGGAATCATCATATGGACTCGAATGGAATCATCATCGAACGGAATTGAAAGCAGTCGTCGAATGGTCTCGAATGGAATCATCATCAAATGAAATCAAAAGGAATCATTGAATGGACTCGAATGGAATCTTCATCGAATGGAATCGAATGGAATCATCAAATGGACACTAATGGAATCACCATCCAATGGAATCGAAAGGAATCATCGAATGGAATCGAATAGAATCTTCATTGAATAGCATCGAATGGAAACATCATTGAATGGAATCTAATGATATTATCATCAAAAGGAATCGAATGGAGTCATCATCTAATGAAATCGAATAGAATTAACAAGGAATGGAATCGAATGGAGAAATCGAATGGAATCCATTGGAATCATCATTGAATGGAACCGAGTGTAGTCATCAGGGAATGGAATCGAATGGAATCAAAGAAGGGACTCGAATGGAACCATCATTGAATGGAATTGGATGGAATCATTGAATGGGCTCGAATGGAATCATCGAATGGGCTGTAATGGAATCATCATCAAATGGAATCAAATGGAATCGAATGGAACCTTCGAATGGAATCTAATGGAATCATCATTGATTGGAATCGAATGGAATCATCAAATGGACTCGAATGGAATCATTGAATGCACTCGAATGGAATCATCATCGAATGGAATCGAGTGGAATCCTCAAATGGAATCAAATGGAATCATCAATTGGTATCGAATGCAATCATCATCGAATGGAATCGAATGGAATCATCGAATGGAATAAAACACAAACATCATCAAAAGGAATCGAATAGAATCATCATCGAATAGAATCAAATGGAATCATCAAATAGAATCAAATGGAATCATTGTCAAGTTTAATCGAGTGGAATCATCAAATGAAATCGAGTGGAATCATTGTTGAATGGAATGGAATGGAATCAATGAATAGAAATGAATGGAATCACCAATGAATGGAATCGAATGGAATCATCATCGTATGGAATTGAATGGAATCATCGAATGGATTCAAACGGAATCATCATTGAATGGAATCACATGGAATCATCATCGAATGGAATCACACGGAATCGTCATCGACGGGAACTGAGTGGAATGAAATTTGGACTCGAATGGAATCATCAAATGGACTCGAAGGGAAGCGTTGAATGGACTCGATTGGAATCATCATCGAATGGAATCAAAGGGAATCATCGAATGGAATCGAATGGAATCATCATTGAACGAAATCGAATTTACTCATCTAATGCACTAGAATGGAATCATCATCGAATAGAATTGAAAGAAATCATAGAATGGACTCGAATGGAATCATCATAATATGAAATTGCATTGAATCTTCGAATGGACTCAAATGGAGTCATCATCGAATGGAATCGAATGGATTCATTGAATGGACTCGAATGCAATAATCATTGAAAGGAATGGAAAGGAATCATCAAACGAAATCAATGGAATCTTCATCGAATGAAATCAAATGGAATAATCAAATGGCAGTGAATGGAATCATCATCGAATGGAATCACATGGAATCATCTAACGGACACAAGTGGAATGATCATCAAATGGAATCGAATGGAAACATTGAATGGACACAAACGGAATCATCACCGAATGGAATCGAATGGAATCATAATCAAATGGAATTGAATAGAATAATCATTGAATGGAATCGAAAGGAATCATCGAACAGAAAAGAATGGAATCATCATCGAATGGAATCAAATAGAATCATCGAATGAAATAAAATGGAATCATCATCGAATGGAATCGAATGGCATCATCATTGAATGGAATCGAATGGAATAATCATCGAATGTAATTGAATGTAATTATCATTGAAAGGAATTGAATGGATTCATCATCTAATGGAACCAGAGTCATCATCAAATGGAATTGCATGGAATCATAATCGAATGGAATTGAATGGAATCGAATGGAATCTTCAAATGGACTCAAATGCAATCATCGACTGAGCTTCAATGGAATCATCATGGAATGGAATCAAATGTAATCATCAAATGGACTCGAATGGAATCATCATCAAATGGAATCAGATGGAATCATCGAATGGATTTGAATGGAATCATCGAATGGACTTGAATGCAATCCTCATTGAATGGAATTGAATGGAATAATCGAATAGTCTCAAATGGAATCATCATCGAATGGAATTGAATGGAATCATCATCGAAAGAAATCGAATGGAATCATCGAATGGACTCGAATGGAATCATCATCAAATGAAATTGCATTGAATCTTCGAATGGAATCAAATGGAGTCATCATCGAAAGGACTCGAATGGAAGAATCATCGAACAGAATGGAAAGGAATCATCAAAAGATATCAATGGAATCATCATCGAATGAAATCAAATGGAATAATCAAATGGCACCGAATGGAATCATCATCAAATGGAATCAAATGGAATCATCTAACGGACTCAAGTGGAATACGTATCGAATGAAATCGAATGGAAACATTGAATGGAACAAATGGAATCATCATCGAATGGAATCGAATGTAATCATCATCAAATGTAATCGAATAGAATCATCATCGAATGGAATCGAATGGAATCATCAAACGGAATAGAATGGAATCATCAACGAATGGAATCAAATAGAATCCTCGAATAAAATAAAATGGAATAATCATCGAATGGAATCGAATGGCATCAACATCGAATGGAATTGAATGGAATCATCTTTGAAAGGAATCGAATGGATTCATCATCAAATGGAACCGAACAGAGTCATCATTGAATGCAACTGACTGGAATCGTAATCAAATGAAATCGAATGGAATCTTCGAATTGACTCAAATGCAATCATTGACTGGGCTTCAATGGAATCATCATGGAATGGAATTGAATGTAATCATCGAATGGACTCGAATGAAATCATCATCAAATGGAATCAGATGACTTGAAATGGACTTGAATGGAATCATCTAATGGACACGAATGGAATCATCATCAAATGGAATCGAATGGAATCATTGAATGGAATCGAATGGAATCATCTAATGGACATGAATGGAATCATCATTGAATGGAATTGAATGGTATCATCGAATGGTCTTGAATGGAATCATCATCAAATGGAATCGAATAAAATCGGCATGAATACAATCGAATGGAGTCATCATTGAATGGAATCGAACAGAATCATCATCAAATAGAATCGAATGGGATCATCGAATGAAACAGAATGGAATCATCATCAAAAGGAATGAAAGTAAAACGAAGAATGGAATACAACAGACTCATTGAATGGAATTGAATGGAATCATCATTGAAAGGACTCGAATGGAGTTATCATCGAATGGAATTGAATGGAATCATTTAATGGACTCGAATGGAATCAACTTCGAGTGGAAACAAAAGGAAACATCTAATGGACTTGAATGGAATCATCACCTAATGGAATCGAATGGAATCATCAGCAAATGGAATCGAAAGGAATCATCATGGAATAGAATTGAATGGAAACATCGAATGGAATGGAATGGAGTCATCATGGAAAGGAATCGAAGGGAATCATCAAATAGAATCAAACTGAATCATTGAATGGAATCGAATGGAATCATCATCAAATGGACTTGAATGCAATTATCATCAAAAGGAATCAAATGGAATCATCGAATGGACTCGAATGGAATAATCGAATGGACTTCAATGGAATCATCAAATGGAATTGAATGGAATCATCGAATGGACTCGAATGGAATCATCATCAAATGAAATTGGATGGAATCAATGAATGGATTCAAATGGAATCATCAAATGGACACAAATGGAATCATCACTGAATAGAATCACATGGAATCAACATGAAATGGAATTGAATAGAATCATCATTGAATGGAATCATATGGAATCATTGCACGGAAGAGAATGGAATCATCATCGAAAGGAATCAAATAGAATCATCGAATGAAATCAAACGGAGTCATCATCAAATGGAATCGAATGGAATCATCATCGAATGTAATTGAATGGAATCATCATTTAAAGGAATCGAATGGATTCATCATCAAATGGAACCGAACAGAGTCATCATCGAATGGAATTGAATGGAATCATCATCGAATGGAATCGAATGGAATCTTCGAATTGACTCGAATGCAATCATCGACTGGGCTTCAATGGAATCATCATGGAATGGAATCGAATGGAATCATCAAATGGACCCGAATGGAATCAACATCGAATGGAATCGAATGGAATCATCATCGAATGGAATATAATGGAATCATCATCAAATGGAAAAGAATGGAATCATCAACGAATGGAATCAAATGGAGAAATCGAACGAAATCCGTTGGAATCATCATCATATGGAACCGAATGCAGTCATCATTGAATGGAATCGAATGGAATCATCAAATGGATTAGAAGGGAATCATTAGATTCCATTCGATGATGATTCCATTAGGGTCCATTTGATGATTCCATTCGAGACCATTGGATAATTCCATTCGAGTCCATTTGATGATTCCATTCTAGTCCATTCGATGATTCCATCTGATTCCATTAGATGATGATTCCATTCGAGTTCATTCGATCATTCCATTTGATTCCATTTGATGATTCCATTTGAGTCCATTCAATTATTCCATTCGAGTCCATTCAATTATTCCATTCGAGTCCATTCGATGATTCCATTCAATTCCATTCGATGATAATTGCATTCGAGTCCATTTGATGATGATTCTATTCGATTCCATTCGATGATGACTGCCTTCGTTTCCATTCGAGGATGATTCCAGCAGATTCCATTCGATTTCTCCATTTGATTCCATTCATTGATGATTCCATTCGATTCCATTAGATGATGATTCCATTAGATTCCATTTGATGACTATTCCATTTGATTCCATTCAATGATGATTCCATTCGTGTCCATTCAATGATTCCATTCAATTTCATTCGATGATGATCCCATTCGAGTCCATTCAATGATTCCATTCAAGTCCATTTGATGATTCCTTTCAATTCCATTCGATGATGATTCCATTCGAGTCCATTCGATGATTCCATTTGATTTCATTTGATGATTCCATTCCATTCGATTCGATGATTCCATTCTATTCCATTCCATGATGATTCTGTTCGAGTCCATTCGATAATGATTCCATTTGATTTCATTCGATGATTCTATACGATGGTGACTCAATTCTATTACATTGGATGATTCCATTCGATTCCATTTGATGATGATTCCATTCGATTCCATTCGATGATGATTCCATTTGATTCCATTCGATTATTATTCCACTCGATTTCATTCGATGATTCTATTCGATTCCATTCAACGATGATTCAATTATGTTCCATTAGATGATTCCTTTTTATTCCATTAGATGATGATTCCATTCGATTCCAAATTATGATTATTCCATTCAATTCCACTCAATGATGATTTCATTCGATTTCATTCGATGATTCTATTTGATTCCATTCAATGATGATACAATTATATTCCATTGGATGATTCCATTCAATTCCATTCGATGATTGTTCCATTCGATTCCATTCGATGATGACTCCATTCGATTGCATTCGATGAAAATTTCAATCGAGTCCTTTCATAGATTCCATTCGATACCATTCGATGATGATTCCATTTGAATCCATTAGATGATTTCATTCCATTCCATTCAATGATGATTCCATTAGATGCCATTCAATGATTTCATTCGATCCCATTCGATGATGATTCCATTCAAGTCCATTCGATGATTCCATTAGATTCCATTTGACAATGATTCCATTCGAGTCCATTTGATGATTCAATTCGATTCCATTCTATGATTCCATTTGATTCCATTCGATGATAATTCCATTGGAGTCCATTCGAAGATTCCATACGATGATGATTCCACTCGAGTCCTTTCCATGATTCCATTCGAGTCCATTTGATTCTTCCCTTAGGTGCCATTCATTGATGATGCTATTCAATGCCATTCAATGATTCCATTTGACTCCATTCGATGATGTTTCCATTCGAGTCCATTCGATGATTCCACTTGAGTCCATTCAATGACACCATTCGATTCAATTCTATAATGATTCCATTCGAGTCCATTCAATGATGATTCCATTCGAATCCATTCGATGATTCCATTCGGTTCTATTTGATGATGATTCCATGGGATTCCATTTGATGAATCCATTCTATTCCACTCGTTGATGATTCCATTTGATACCATTTGATGATGATTCCATTCGATTCTCTTAATTGATGCTTCCAATTGATTCCATTCGATAATGATTCCATTCGACTCCATTCGATGGTGATTCCATTCGATTTCATTTGATGGTTTCATTTGATTCCTTTCGATGATGATTCCATTCGATTCCATTTGATGATTCCATGCGATGCCATTAGATGATGGTTCCATTTGTTTCCATTCGATGATTCCATTTGATTCCATTCGATGATGAGCCATTCAATTCAATTCCATCATGATTCCATTTGATTCAATTCAATGATGTTTCCATTCGATTCCATTCGATGATGATTCCATTAGATTGCATTCAACGATGATTCCATTCGAGTCCATTCATTGATGATTCCATTTGAGTCCGTTCATTAATGATTACTTTGGATTTCATGCGATGCTTCTATTTGATTCCATTCGATGATGATTCCATCTCATTCCATTCAATGAGTCCATTCGATTCCATTCAGTGATGATTCCATTCGATTCCACCAGATGATGATTTAATTTGATTCCATTCAAAGATGATTCCCTTAGAGTCCATTAGATGATTCCATTTGTGTCCAATCGGTGATTCCATTTGATTCCATTCAATGATGATTCCATTAGAGTCCATTCGATGATTCCATTCGATTTCATTTGACACTGATTCCATTCGAGTCCATTTGATGATTCCATTCAATTCCAATTGATGATGACTCCATTCGAGTCGTTTCGATGATTCCATTTGATATCATTCGATGATGATTCCATTCGAGTCCATTCGATGAATCCATTCGATTCCATTCGATGATGACTCCATTCAAGTCAGTTAGATGATTCCATATGATTCCATTCGATGATCATTCCATTCGAGTACATTCAATGATTCCATTTGATTTTATTCGATGATGATTCCATTCGATTCCACTCAATGATGATTCCATTTGTGTGCATTCAATGATTCCCTTTAATTCCATTTGATGATGATTCCATTCGAGTCCATTCAGTGATTCCATTTGATTCCATTCGATGATGATTGCATTCGAGTCCATTGGATGATTACATTCGATTCCATTCGATGACGATTCCATTCGAGTCCATTCAGTGATTCCATGTGATTCCATTCGATGCTGATTCCATTCGAGCCATTTGATGATTCTATTTGAGTCCATTTGATGATTGCTTTCGATTATATTCAATGATGATTTCATTCGAGTCCATTCAATGATTCCACTTGATTCCATTCGATGATGATTCCATTCGGGTGCATTAGATGATTCCATTCGATTACACTCGATGATGATTCCATTCTAGTCCATTCGATGATTCCATTCGATTCCATTACCCGATGATTACTTTCGTGTCCATTCGATGATTCCACTCGATTCCATATGATGATGACTCCATTTGATTCCATTCAATGATTCAATTCTATTCCATTAGATGATGATTCCAATCGAGTACATGAGATGATTCCATTCAATTCCATTCAATGATGAAGCTATTCGTGTCCTTTAGATGATTCCATTCGATTCCCTTTGATGATGATTCCATTCTACTCAATCCAGTGATGATTCCATTCGTGTCCATTAGATGATTCCATTTGATTCCATTCGATGTTGATTCCATTTTTTTCCATTCAGTGATAATTCCATTCGGGTCCGTTAGATGATTCCATTTGATTCCATTCAATGATGATTCCATTATATTCCATTCTATGTTGATTCCATTTGAGTCCATTAGATGATTCCTTTCGATTCCATTCACCGATGATTACTTTCGAGTTCATTCGATAATTCCACTCAATTCCATAGGATGATGACTCCATTCGATTCCATTCGATGATTCCATTCTATTCCATTAGATGATGATTCCATTCGAGTACATTAGATGATTCCATTAGATTCCATTCAATGATGATGCTATTCGTGTCCATTATATGATTCCATTCGATTCCATTCGATGATGATTCCATTCTATTCAATACAATGGTGATTCCATTCGGGTCCATTAGATGAATCCTTTCAATTCCATTTGATTATGATTCCATTTTATTCCATTCAGTGATGATTCCATTCGTGTCCGTTAGATGAATCCATTTGATTCCATTCGATGATGATTCCATTTGATTTCTTTCAATGATGATTCCATTCGAGTCCATTAGATGATTCCATTCAATTCAATTTGATGATGATTCCATTTGTGTCCATTCGATGATTCCATTCTACTCCATTTGATGATGCTTCAATTCAAGTCCATTCAATGATTCTATATGAGTCCAATCAGTAACTGCTTTCGATTCCATTCGATAATGATTCCATTCGATTCCATTTGATGATGATTCCATTCGGTACCGTTCTATGATTCCATTCGATTCCATTCAATGTTGATTCCGTTCGATCCCATTCGATGATTCCCTTTGATTCCATTCGATGATCATTCCATTTGATTCAATTCGGTGATTCCATTCGATTGTATTCAATGATGATTCCATTTGACTCCATTCGATGATGATTCCATTCGATTCCATTCGATTATGATTTCATTCAATTCCATTCGATGATGATTCCATTCGATTCCATTAGATGATTCCATTCGATTCCATTCGATGATGATTCCACTCAAGTCCATTTGATGATTTCTTTTGAGTCCATTTGATGATTCCATTAGATTCCATTCGATGATGATTCCATTCGATTCCATTCAACAATGATTCCATTCATGTCCATTCAATGATTCCATTTGATTCCATTTCATTCCATTTGATGATGATTCCATTCGAGCCCATTCGGTGATTCCACTCAATTACATTCGATGATGATTCCCTTCTAATCCATTTGATGATTCCATTCGATTCCATTCGATGGTGATTCCATTCGGGTCCATTCGATGATTCCATTCGATTCCATTCGATGATGCTTCCACTCAAGTCCATTTGATGATTTCTTTTGAGTCCATTTGATGATTCCATTAGATTCCATTTGATGATGATTCCATTCGATTCCATTCAACAATGATTCCATTCGTGTCCATTCAATGATTCCATTTGACTCCATTTCTTTCCATTTGATGATGATTCCATTCGAGCCCATTCGGTGATTCCACTCAATTACATTCAATGATGATTCCCTTCTATTCCATTTGATGAGTCCATTCGATTCCATTCGATGATGACTGCATTCGGTTCCATCTGATGATTCCAATGGATTTCATTCGGTTTCTCCATTTGATTCCATTCGTTGATGATTCCATTCTTTTCCATTTGATGATGATTGCATTCTATTCCATTCGATGATGATTCCATTCGATTCCATTCGATGGTGATTCCATTCGGGTCCATTCGATGATTCCATTCGATTCCATTCGATGATGATTCCATTCGAGTACATTCAATGATTCCATTTAAGTCCATTCGAAGATTACTTTCATTTCCATTTGATGATTCCATTTGAGTCCATTCGATGATTCCGTTCAAGTCCATTCAATGTTTTCTTTTGATTCCAATCAATATTGATTCCATTTGAGTCCATTCGATGATTCCATTCGAGTGCATTCCATGATGATTCCATTCGAGTCCATTTGATGATTCCATTTGATTTCATTTGGTGATGATTCCATTTGATTCCATTCGATGATTCCATTCAAGTCCATTCATTGATTATATTCGAGTCCATTAAATGATTTCATTCGTTTCCATTCGATGATGACTCCATTCGAGTCCATTCAAGGATGATTCCAGAAGATTCCATTCGATGATAACGTTGGATTCCATTCTTTGTTTCATTTCGATACATTTTGGTGATGATTCCGTTTGATTTCATTTGATGATCCCATTCGATTCTATTTGATGATGATTCCATTCGATTCCATTGGATGAAAATTCCATTCATTTCCATTCATTGATGATTCCATTCTATTCTATTCGATGCTGATTCTATTCAATTCCATTCAACGATGATTCCATTCGATTTCATTCGATGATGATTCCTTTCGAGACCATTCGATGATTCCATTCACTTCATTCGATGATGATTCCATTCAATTCCATTAGATGATTCCATTAGAATCCATTTGATGACGATTCCATTCGATTCCATTCGATGATGATTCCATACGATTCCATTGGATGATGACTCCTTTCATTTCCATTCGATGATTATTCCTTTCGACTCCATTTGATGTTGATTCTTTCAATTCCGTTTGATGATGTTTCCATTTGATTCCATTCGATGATGATTCCATTCCATTCCATTCGATGATTCCATTCAATTCCATTAGATGATGATTCCATTAGAGTCCATTCAATGATTCCATTCGATTCCATTCTATGATAATTCCATTGGAGTCCATTCGATGATTCTATTTGATTCTATTCAATAATGATTCCATTCGAGTCCATTCGATGATTGCTTTTGAGTCTATTCGAAGATTCCATTCAATACCATTCAATGATGTTTCCATTCCAGTCCATTCAATAATTCCATCCGATTCCATTCGATGATGTCTGCACTCAGTTCCATTTGATGATGATTCCAATGGATTCCATTCAATGACACCATTCGATTCCATTCATTGATGATTCCATTCGATTCCATTCGATTATGATTACATTCAATTCCATTCGATGATGATTTCATTGGATTCCATTCCATGATGATTCCATTCGATTCCATTCAATGATGATTCCATTCAATTCCATTTGATGAAAATTCCATTCAATTCCATTCGATGATGATTCCATTCGATTCTATTCGATGCTGACTCTATTCGATTCATTTGGATGATGATTCCATTCGATTCCATTTGATGATTCCATTCGATTCCATTCAATTATGATTCCATTCGAGACCGTTCGATGATTCCATTCAATTCTATTCAATGGTGATTCCATTCGAGTCCATTCGATGATTCCATTCAAGTCCATTCTATGATTCCATCTCTTTCCATTCAATGATGATTCCATTCGATGATGATTCCATTCGATTCCATTCAATGATGATTCCATTGGATTCCATTCGATGATTCCATTCGATTCCATTTGATGGTGATTCCATTCGGGTTCATTCGATGATTCCATTCGATTCCATTCGATGATGATTCCATTTGAGTACATTCAATGATTCCATTTAAGTCCATTCTAAGATTACTTTCAATTCCATTTGATGATTCCATTTGAGTCCATTCGATGATTCCATTCAAGTCCATTCGATGTTTTCTTTCGATTCCACTCGATATTGATTCCATTTGAGTCCGTTCGATGATTCCATTCAAGTGCATTCCATGATTTCATTCGACTCCATTCGATGATCATTCCATTCGAGTCCATTCGATGATTCCATTTGATTTCATTCGGTGATGATTCCATTCGATTCCTTTCGATGATTCCATTCAAGTCCATTCATTGATTACATTCGAGTCCATTAAATGATTCCATTCGTTTCCATTCGATGATGACTCCATTCGAGTCCATTCAATGATGATTCCAGTCGATTCCATTCGATGATAACGTTGGATTCCATTCTTTGTTTTTTTTTCGATTCATTTTGGTGATGATTCCGTTTGATTTCATTTGATGATCCCATTCGATTCTATTTGATGATGATTCCATTCGATTGCATTGGATGAAAATTCCATTCGTTTCCATTCATTGATGATTCCATTCGATTTTATTCGATGCTGATTCTATTCAATTCCATTCGACGATGATTCCATTCGATTTCATTCGATGATGATTGCTTTCGAGACCATTCGATGATTCCATTCACTTCATTCGATGATGATTCTATTCAATTCCATTAGATGATTCCATTAGAATGCATTTGGTGATGATTCCATTCGATTCCATTTGATGATGATTCCATACGATTCCATTGGATGATGACTCCTTTCATTTCCATTCGAAGATTATTCCTTTCGACTCCATTTGATGTTGATTCTTTCAATTCCGTTTGATGATATTTCCATTTGATTCCATTCGATGATGATTCCATTCCATTCCATTCGATGATTCCGTTCAATTCCATTAGATGATGATTCCATTAGAGTCCATTCAATGATTCCATTCGATTCCATTCTATGATAATTCCATTGGAGTCCATTCGATGATTCTATTTGATACTATTCAATAATGATTCCATTCGAGTCCATTCGATGATTGCTTTTGAGTCTATTCGAAGATTCCATTCGATACCATTCAATGATGATTCCATTCCAGTCCATTCGATAATTCCATCCGATTCCATTCGATGATGTCTGCATTCGGTTCCATTTGATGATGATTCCAACTGATTCCATTCGATGACACCATTCGATTCCATTCATTGATGATTCCATTCGATTCCATTCGATTATGATTACATTCAATTCCATTCGATGATGATTTCATTGGATTCCATTCCATGGTGATTCCATTCGATTCCATTCAATGATGATTCCATTCAATTCCATTTGATGAAAATTCCATTCAATTCCATTCGATGATGATTCCATTCGATTCTATTCGATGCCGACTCTATTCGATTCATTTGGATGATGATTCCATTCGATTCCATTCGATTATGATTCCATTCGAGACCGTTTGATGATTCCATTCAATTCTATTCAATGGTGATTCCATTCGAGTCCATTCGATGATTCCATTCAAGTCCATTCTATGATTCCATCTGTTTCCATTCGATGATGATTCCATTCGAGCCCATTCGATGATTCCACTCGATTCCATTCCATGATGATTCCATTGAAGCACATTTGATGATTGCATTCGTTCCATTTGATGATTCCATTCGATTCCATTCGATGATGATTCCATTCAATTCCATTCGATGATGACTCTGTTCGGTTCCATTTGATGATGAATCCATTCGATTCCTTTAAATGATGATTCCATTCAATTACATTCGATGATGATTCCATTCGATTCCATTTGATGATGACTCCGTTTGATTTCATTCGATGATTCTATTTGATTCCTTTCGATGATGATTCCATTCTCTTCCGTGCAATGATTCCATATGATTCCATTCAATGATGATTCTATTCAATTCCATTTCATGTTGATTCCATGTGATTCTATTCAGTGATGATTCCATTTGTGTCCATTTGATGATTCCATTTGAATCCATTCATTGATTCCATCCAATTTCATTTGATGATGATTCCATTCGAGTCCATTCGATGATTCCATTCAATTCCATTTGATGATTCCATTGAAGTCCATTCGATTATTCCATTCGAGTCCATTCGATGATTCCATTTGATTCCTTTTGATGATAATTGCATTCAAGTCCATTTGATGATGATTCCATTCGATTCCATTCAATGATTCAGTTTGATTCTATTTGATGATTCCCTTCGATTCCTTTCCATGATGACTCCATTCCATTCCATTCGATGTTTCCATTCAATTCTATTCCATGATGATTCCTTTCGATTCCATTTGCTGATGATTCCATTCGATTCCATTAGGTGATGATTCCATTCAAGTCCATTAGATGTTTCCTTTTGTTTCCACTCGAAGTTGATTCCATTCGAGTCCATTAAATGATTCCATTCAATTCCATTCGATGATAACTCCATTCGAGTCCTTTCAATGATGATTCCATTCAATTCCATTCAATGAGTCTGTTGTATTCCATTCTTCGTTTTACTTTCATTCCTTTTGATGATGATTCCATTCTGTTTCATTCGATGATCCCATTCAATTCTATTTGATGATGATTCTGTTCGATTCCATTCAATGATGACTCCATTCGATTGTATTCATGCCGATTTTATTCGATTCCATTTGATGATGATTCCATTCAAGACCATTCGATGATACCATTCAATTCCATTCAATGATGATTCCATTCATGTCCATTAGATGATTCCATTCGATTCCATTCAATGATTCCATTCGATTCCATTCGATGATGATTCCATTCGTGTCCATTAGATGATTCCATTCAAGTCCATTTCAAGTCATCTGATTCCATTTGATGATGATTTCATTCGAGTCCATTCGATGATTACATTCAATTCCATTCCATGATGATTCCATTGAAGCCCAGTCAATGATTGCATTTGAGTCAATTCGAAGATTCCATTCGATTTCATTTGATTACGATTCCAGTCAGTTGCATTCAATGATGACTCTGTTCGGTTCCATTTGATGATGAATCCATTCGATTCCTTTCAAAGATGATTCCATTCAATTCCATTCGATGTTGATGCCATTCGATTCCATTCGATGATTATTCCATTTTATTTTATTCGAGGATTCTATTTGATTCCATTCGTTGATGATTCCATTCTATTCCGTTTGATGATTCCATTCGATTCCATTCGATGATGATTCTATTCGATTACATTTGATGATGATTACATTCGATTCCATTCGATGATGATTCCATTTGTTCCATTCAATGTTTCCATTCGATTTCATTCGATACGTATTCCACTTGAGTCCGTTAGATGATTCCATTTGATTCCATTTGATGATGATTCCATTCGGTGCCATTTGATTATTCCATTTGATTTCATTCGATGATGATTCCATTGATATCTTTTGATGATTCCTTTCCATTCTGTTCGATGATTCTTCCATTCGAGTCCTTTCGATGATGACTCCATTTGATTCCATTCGAAGATTCAATGCAATTTCATTTGATGATGATTCCATTCGAGTCCATTCGATGATTCCATTCGATTTCTTTCGATGATGATTCCATTCAATTCCATTCGATGATGATTCCATTTGAGACTATTCGATTATTCCATTCAATTCCATTCAATGAGGATTGCATTCAAGTCCATTCGATGATTCCATTCAAATCCATTCGATGATTCCATCTGATTCCATTTGATGATGATTCCATTCGAGTCCATTTGATGATTACATTTGATTCCATTCCATGATGATTCCATTGAAGCTCAGTCGATGATTGCATTTGAGTCCATTTGAAGATTCCATTCGATTCCATTCAATTCCATTCGATTATGATTCCATGCAATTCCATTTGATGATGACTCTGGTTCCATTAGATGATGAATCCATTCAATTCCTTTCAATGATAATTACATTCAATTACATTCGATGATTATTCCATTCGATTCCATTCAATGATGATGCCATTCGATTCCATTCGATGATGATTCCATTTTATTTCATTCGATGATTCTATTTGATTCCATTCGATGATGATTCCATTCTTTTCTGTTCGATGATTCCTTTCGATTCCATTCAATGATTATTCTATTCAATTCCATTTGATTATGATTCCATTCGATTCCATTCGGTGATGATTCCGTTTGTGTCCATTCAATGTTTCCATTCGATTCCATTTGATGATCATTCCACTTGTGTCCGTTAGATGATTCCATGTGATTCCATTCGATGATGATTCCATTCACTGCCATTTGATTATTCCATTTGATTTCATTCGATGAAGATTCCATTGATTTCGTTTGATGATTCCTTTCCATTCCTTTCAATGATTATTGCATTCGAGTCCATTCAATGAATCCATTCGATTCCATTCGATGATGACTCCATTTGAGTCCATTCGAAGATTCAATGCAATTTCATATTATGATGATTCCATTCGAGTCCATTCTATGATTTCTTTCAATTCTATTCGATGATGATTCCATTCTAGTGCATTAGATGAGTAAATTCGATTTCGTTCAATGATGATTCCATTCGATTCCATTCGATGATTCCCTTTGATTCCATTCGATGATGATTCCAATCGAGTCCATTCAACGCTTCCCTTCGAGTCCATTTGATGATTCCATTCGAGTCCAAATTTCATTCCACTCAGTTCCCGTCGATGACGATTCCGTGTGATTCCATTCGATGATGATTCCATGTGATTCCATTCAATGATGATTCCGTTTGAATCCATTCGATGATTCCATTCAATTCCATACGATGATGATTCCATTCGATTCCATTCATTGGTGATTCCATTCATTTCTATTCATTGATTCCATTCCATTCCATTCAACAATGATTCCACTCGATTTCATTTGATGATTCCACTCGATTAAACTTGACAATGATTCCATTTGATTCTATTTGATGATTCCATTTGATTCTATTCGATGATGATTCTATTCGATTCCTTTTGATGATGTTTGTGTTTTATTCCATTCGATGATTCCATTCGATTCCATTCGATGATGATTGCATTCGATACCAATTGATGATTCCATTTGATTCCATTTGAGGATTCCACTCGATTCCATTCGATGATGATTCCATTCGAGTGCATTCAATGATTCCATTCGAGTCCATTTGATGATTCCATTCGATTCCAATCAATGATGATTCCATTAGATTCCATTCGAAGGTTCCATTCGATTCCATTTGATTCCATTTGATGATGATTCCATTACAGCCCATTCGATGATTCCATTCGAGCCCATTCAATGATTCCATCCAATTCCATTCAATGATGGTTCCATTCGAGTCCCTTCTTTGATTCCATTCGATTCCATTCCCTGATGACTACACTCGGTTCCATTCAATGATGATTCCAATGGATTCCATTCGATTTCTCCATTCGATTCCATTCCTTGTTAATTCTATTCGATTTCATTAGATGATGACTCCATTCGATTCCTTTTGATGATAATATCATTAGATTCCATTCAATGATGTTTCCATTCGATGCTATTCAATGAAGATTCTATTCGATTCCATTCGATGATTCCTTTCGATTCCATTGGATGGTGATTCCATTAGTGTCCATTTGATGATTCCATTCGATTCCATTCGATGAAGATTCCATTCGAGTCCATTCAATGATTCCTTTTGATTTCATTTGATGATGATTCCATTCGAGACCATTCGACGACTGCTTTCAATTCCGTTCGATGATGATTCCATTCGAGTCCATATGATGATTCCATTTGATTTCATTCAATGATGATTCCATTCGTTTCCGTTCGATGATTCCTTTCTATTCCATTCAATGATGATTCCAATTGAGTCTATTCGATGATTCATTTCGAGTCCATGCAATGATTCCATTGGGTTCAATTCAATGATAATCACATGGGATTCCATTCGATGATTCCATTTGATTCCATTCGTTGATGATTCAATTCGATTCCATTTGATTATTTGATTCGATTCCATTTGATGATGATTCCATTCGATGATGATTCCATTCAATTTCATTCAATGATTTTATTCGATTCCATTTGATGATGATTCAATTCTATTCCATTCGAGGATTCCATTCGATTCCTTTCGATGATGATTCCTTTTGATTCTATTCGATGATGATTCCATTCGATTGGATTCTATGATGTTTCCATTCGAGTGCATTCGAAGATTTTATTCAGTTCCATTTGATGATGATTCCATTCATGTCCATTCGAAGATTATATTAAATTCCATTCGATGATGATTCCATTTGAGTCCATTCAATGATTCCTTTCCCTTCCGTTTGATGATGATTCTATTTGATTCCATTTGATGATGATTCCATTCGATTCCATTCAATGATGATTCCATTTGAATTC